>NC_000011.10:35060000-35211515 GCF_000001405.40 Homo sapiens
GTAGTGGCACACGCCTGTAATCTTCGCACTTTGGGTAGTCGAGGCAGGCGGATCACCTGAGGTCAGGAGTCAGGAGTGGTCAAGACCAGCCTGACCAATATGGTGAAACTCTATCTCTATTACCAATACAAAAATTAGCTGGGCATTGTGGCAGGCATCTGTAATTCCAGCTACTCAGGAGGCTGAGGCAGGAGAATTGCTTGAATCCGGGAGGCATTTGTTGCGGTGAGCTGAGATCCTGCCATTGCCCTCCAGCCTGGGCAACAAGAGTGAAACTCTGTCTCAAAAAGAAAAAAAAATGCTTTCTATCCTACGTAAAAGTAAGGTAGTGAAAAAAAGAGCCAAGGATAGCTAAGCTCACATCAAAGAAGAACAAAGTTGGAGGATGTACTTGACCACACATCAAGATCTATTGTAAAGCTACAGTAATGAAGACCATGTGGCATCAGCACAACAAACAAAGAACAATGCAACAATGGAACAGAATAGAGAGCCCAGAAACAGACTCATGCCATATACAAGCACTTAATTTATGAAAAAGGTGGCACCTCAGAGTAGTAGGTCTTAATCAATAGGTGGTGCTAAGTCAAATGGATATCTGAGTGGAAATAAGAATGAAACGCAACCCCTGTCTCACACCATACCAAAAAAAAAAAAAAAATCAATTTTATTTGGTCTGTAGCTTTAAACATGAAAGCTTCTAGAAGCTAATAGAGGTGAATAGCTTCTTGGCCTAAGGGTAGGCAAATACTATTAAAAAGGACACAAAAAAAGTACTAATTATAAAGAAGAATATTTATACATTAAATTTCATAAAATTAAAAATGTTGGTTCATCAAAAGATACCATTAAGAAGATGTTTTAAAAGATGTCATAGAGGGAGAAAAGAGATTCACTGTACATATAAGTGATAGATGATTCACATTCAGAATATATAAAGAACTCTTAGTCCAGGCAAAATGGCTCACACCTGTAATCCCAGTACTTTGAGAAGCTAAGGTGAGATGATCACTTGGGCTCAGGAGTTTGATACCAGTCTAGTCAACATAGTGAGACCCCATCTCTAATTTAAAAATTAAGAAATTAAAGAATTCTACAAAAAAAAAAAAAAAAAAAGGAGACAGGCAGCCTAATTGAAAATAAATCAGGCAAAAGACTTGAGCAGGCACCTCATAGAAATAGAATGGCCAATGAACACGTGTAAAGGTGCTCAATCTCACTAGTCATCAGGGAAATACAAATGAAAATCATATTGAGGTATCACTATACACCCACAATGATGAAAATAATTAAAATTTCAGATGATACTACATGGTGGTAAGAATGTGGAACAACTGGAACTCTCATTGGTGAGAACTTAGAATAAAACAATCATTTAGGGAGAAGTTTGGCATATCTACTAAACCTAAATGTAGTCTGTACAAAACCTTTCAAATCCATTCCTGGTATCTATCTGTCAGAAATGAGAGCTTGTGTTCATCAAAGACATGCACAAAAATATTCATTGCAGCGTTATTCATAAGAGCCCCAGATAGAAACAACCAAAAGTTCATCAAGAATAGAACAGATAAACTGTGGTATATTCATAAAATGGTATACTGTACACAATGAAAATAAATTAACCACTGCTACGCATGACATTGATGAATCTCATAAATATCATGTAGAATGAAAGAAGCTAGTTACAGAAGAATACATGTCATCTGATTCCATAAGGGGCACAGGGAGTGCTCTGGGTGTTGACAATGTTCTATTTGTTGACTTGAGTGGTGTTTCTATGGGTGTGTTTACTTTGCAACAATTCATCAGTAATTCACTTAAGGTTTGTGGACTTTTCTGTATGTATTCTCTACTTTAAAAAAGAAAAGAAAAAAAGATTTATCTAATAAAATGAAACAGGAGAGGGTGATCCGTATTTCAGTAAACAATAAAATGTTTCTCCCGCCCTGCTTCTGACACCCTTCCTAAATCTGATTTCCTCACTGCATGTGAACTTGTTGTTCTCATCAAATGAGTCAGGCAAAATGGAAAAAAAAATTAATGGATCTTGATAGATGTTTTTTAAGGTTAATGTTGTCCTTATAACGTCATTAAAAGCTCTGCCTTCAAATAAAACTATCAAACCGTGCCCTGCCTTCCTTTATTTTTAAGGAAGCTGAAATGGTGGCTCCAGAAACAATAGTGCTCCTGGGATCAGAGGGTGGGGGGAGATTAGAAATCCATTCATTCATTCATTCATTCATTCACTTGACAAATATTTATTAAGCAACTATTGTATCTCAGGCACTATTCTAGGCACTGCAGATAGAACAGTGAACAAAACAGAAAAAGTCCCTGTTCTCATGGAACTTACATTGTGGTAGAGATGGAGAATACACTGTATTGTAAGTATTTTTAACTTTGTATATTATGATGCTTTGACATCTTTAAAAACTGTTCTGGCTGGGGAGAGACTGTCCCTCCTAGGCCTAGCTGATTCTTAAGAGGTAGCAAAATGCTCATCTGGCATAAGCTTTTGATATGCAAACTAATGAATCCAGAGCTATAGCTCATTGATTTTGCCCATGTCTCCCCAAGAGGCAATATCCATCTGCCTTAATCATCCCAGAGCCAGGTATCAGGCAACTAGGCACCACCCCTAGAGTTTAAAGCCTGCTGGAAAGAGTCAAACCAGCCAATTCTGAACAGTTTACCCCCCTTGCTTGCCTTTCCCATGGAAAGCCCCCAAAAGGCTCTGGCCTAATGCATTTCCCTTTCTTCCATCCTCTGCCTCCTGACTGCCCCAGGCCTTCCCCATGTGGTTCTCCATGGAGTGGTGTGTCTCCTGTCTCTAGGACCTGTGAGTAAATAAACTTTGTTTCCCTGAACCTCTCTTGCGTCTCCTCTTATGGCCACACCTGACTGACCATCACATAAAAGAATAAAAGCATACATGAACGATGAGGGAATGCCACAGAGAATTCTTTATGCTGCAGTGATGGGATGACCAGTTCCAGAGGTATGATTTTGCTGTTGTATGGAGGATGGTCAGGGAAGGTCTCACCTAAAGGCAAGGGACCTGAAGGAAAAGACGGAGTGACCACATGAATATCTGGGAGGGAACTCCCGTGGAGGGAAACTGAGGTGAGAATAGCTAGGAGGTCAGAGTGGCAGAAGGGGAAAAAGCAAAGCTGAGAGCCGTGGGAGATGAAGTCAGACAGGGAAGGGCCAGGGCAGATCATCAGAGCCTCTGTGGCCACTGTAAGGACTTTGGCTTTTCCTTTGCATTAGACGGGAGGTGCTGGAGGGTTGTGAATGGGAAGAGTGACATGACCTGACCTAAGTGTTAAGAGTCACCCAGGTTGCTGGGTGTGAATAGACAGAAGACAGGTGGGGCAGAAGCAAGAAGACCAGCTAGGAAGCCATGACAGTGACAAAGGCTAGACGGCAGTGCCTTGGACCAGGGGATAGCAGTGGAGATGGCAGAGAGCTGGACATGTTTCATGGTACTGACAAATGATTCACTTTGGAGGTGGGTTGTGAGACAAATGGAGGAGTCGAGGTTTTTGGCCTGAGCAACTAGAAGAAGGACGTTCTTGAGATATGGGTAGAATAGGTGTGAGTAGAAGGTTCCGGAAGGCTGTTTGCACATGTTTAGATATCCAAATGGAGATGACAAGGAGGCAATTGTAGATAATGAAGCTGAAGTTGAAAAGCAGAAGTCGGGACTGAAGATATAAATTTGGGTGTTGGTGTTTAAAGCCATGGGATTGGATGAGATCACCTTGGGAGAGGATATAGACAGAAAAGAGAAGTCATCCGGGCCTTGGTCCTCTGAGATCAGCCCTGCCCTAAATCCTGCTTATGCTGCAGGAAGAGAATATCCTCATGGTGAAGGAATTGACCCCATTTTGCCTTGTCCCAGATAGCTGATTCCTTAACGTGTGAGGATAAATGAGGCAACACCATGTCCTGGAAATTGATCCTCACTGGAGACCAACCATTCTGTGAGGGAAACAAGCAAACATCCTCAGTGAACATCTCCTCTCCCTGTCCTCAGCTCAGTTGAGATTTGAACTAGCAACCTAGAAGATAAGCGTCTTCATGCCTCTACTGGCTCTCCAAGCACCCTCAGCCTGCTCATGCTAGTCCAGCCCAGGGTATTCTGCTCCCCAGAAGAGAGCCTGGTCTCTAGGCAAGCAGGGTGTCCTTTCCACACTGAGCTAGAGACTGACCACCGAAAGAAAGTGAACTCTGAGGCAGCAGCAGCCTGGCTAGGAGCTGCCCCACACATTTTACCCATTAGCTGAAAATCTTTTCTAACGATTTCCATTCCCCTTATAATGAATCATCAAATGAGCAGGGCCCCTGCTGGGAGGTTAATAAAAACCATACAGGATCTTATGGTTTGTGCAAAGAGAAAAATTGGCTGTCTGGGGCCCTGGAAGACGGCAATCTGAATCTTTTTCCTCAGTGGATCTTTAGTCCTGAAACTAGATTGCAGGAGGAAATGAAGCAAGAGCGTGGGGGGAGAAGCTCTTGAAATACCTCCCAGTTTTCTCCCTTCCTCAGCTTTCGTGTCACCACTCAGGCTCCCCAGGACTCACCTGAGGGAATCCCAGCCACAGAAAGCACTCACGGAAGAGCAGAGAAGCTGGAGAAACAACAGTAGCAGAGATAGCATTTACTGTACTCAACTTTCTGGTCCCCCGGCTTGCTGTCCAGATACTCACTCATTTCCCCACCTTCGTTGTCATTCTTTTAAAGGATTCTTCCATACACTTGGTTTCCCTACCCATGCCCTCCTACTCTCAGCTTGATCCCTTTTTCCTTCTTTCTGAACAGATATAACTATTCCATGATCATCAGAGCCTTGATTGGCTAGTACCTTTCTGAAGCCCTCCCATTCTTTCATCCTCTCACATTCACTAGGACTCTACTCTGCTTTTCTGCCCAGGAGGAAAAGTGGTCCAAAGACCACACATCTTAACGCTGGGGCAGTACTTATGCAGCCAGTGTTTCATCTGTTTCAGGATGGAGCTCATTTTAAGTCACCTCTGGGAGCTTGGTACACAGCAATAAAAAATGAGGAGTTTGAGATCCCTGGAGAATTGGAAAGACAAGACTTCTTTTCTCTTACCCTCAACCGGGTCCTAGAGCACAAAAATGAATTGCAATTCGTTCTTTGCTTCTTGTAGCTGGTGAGATAGCAACGGATTTTGCTGTAGCCAAACTCCATGTACAAATGGCGATGCAAATCAGTGGAAAGGGTGCCTTTCTTAATCCTCCTCCTCACGGTGTTCCCTACTGGGCACCAGGGATCCTCAGCAGGACCTACAGGGGCAAGCATTAAAAATAGTCCTTTGTGTTCAATAAAAATTTGGTAAAGATGTTGCTAGTGCTAGGTGTCTCTTCTGCTCTAAAGAGAGGCCTTGCAATTTACCAATCCAAAATTTTCATTCATTCCCTTATTCATTCAGCCTTTTTATTGAATGACTACTATGGCTAGGTTTGGTGCTACATGCTTCAGATAGAATGGTGAACAAGACAGATGAATCTTACAGTAAAGGTGGAGGGAGAGGCAGAGAAATAAACAAATTCATCAAATCATTACACACTTTAGTAAGTGCTATGAGATATTTGCGGGCTGCTAGCCCAGAGGGTGAGGTTTGATGAACTGCAGGCTAAACATAGAAATAAAAGCAAGCTGCATTTTTTTAATGACTTGCTTTTACATGTAACTTAGGAAATGTTTTTTGGAGAGTCACATCACAGCAAGAGTTTAAAATGGAATTGCTTACTCCTGAGCTAGGACATCAACAATATCCATGATCTCATGGAGGCAGATTTCATCTCCTAAGATGCCTTTCAAATGATGTGAGTTTGCCTCTATTCGGGAAATAAATCAAAAAGACAGCCCAATCGCCCCAGCAACAGGCACTACTGGTTGTCTACAGAACAGCTGTTCTCTCCTTGCCCCATCCCCTTTTCCATGTCTGAGGAGGTCTTTGTGACATTGTACCTGAGAGAATGGTCTAAAGCTCATTATTAGGCACTTGTTTGGGGAGAAGTGGATCATGTCATCTACTTGAAAGAGATGTTGGGAGGTCCAAATAAAGGCATGGAGGTTGATACTTGCCCTTCTTAAATTGTTTTCCCTGGACTAAGAGAATGAAATCTATACCATAGGCTTATGACTTCTCAGTTCCTCTTAATAGGATTCAAGCCACAAATCCTCTTCTGTGGCAACCCAGACACGTGGCCATTTTCCTACTCTTTGGTAACTAAGGCTCTGCATGGTGAGGAAAGGGTAAGTGATCATATTTTAGAGAGACCTGTAAACCCTAGTTGCCTTCCCCTAGCCTCCCCAGTCTGACCTCACATGGTTGGAGTTCTAAGTGTGACAAAGGCTCTTTAGAGACTTCATCTAAACCTGACTTGATTTTAGATCAACAGAAACTGTACATATCCTTTTCATGGAACCATTAAGTTCATTCTTGGGTAAACCAGGATAAGAAAGAGAAACTAAAGCTTTCCTATGTTAGGGTAGAAAGGTGGTCTGCAAAGTATATCTTTTTTTTTTCCTGTTCCTGGTATTTTAAACTGTCCCACCAGATCAAGCCACATTTATAGTCCTACTTGTCCACAGATCCAAACCAGCAGCAACCCCTGATGGTTGAGGGATTTGATCAGGTCCTTACCTTATTGTTCTCCACCAGCTTCCATTCCCACCTTGTTCTACAGCCTCCATCTCCATCCTCTGGTTTCTTCAGATTTGATTGTTTTCTATGTCTCTGCTTTCCCTTATTTTAGCGCCATGCTTTAGCTCTCAATGAGAGATCTACACCCCAACTTGACCCAGCTTGACATGAGTCCCATTAGCATGGGACTTGCTGACCTGTTCCAGTTCTTTCCCTTTCTTCTAAGGCACCTTTGGCAAATGCAGACTCATATGGGTGGTGCTTCCTCTACCAAAGCACATCAGGCTAAGCGTAAGAGGGATGCCACAGTGGGTAGGTCATGTTTGTAAAGTTAGACCTTGAACTAGTTTTCAGTTTGTCCACTTCTCCTCTCATCTTGATAGTATCCATACCACCTTTGCTGCTAGTCCTAGTCTTGTCTTAGGAAATGATCAACTAACTTAGTCCTTAACCAATCTGCTCTGCATCTTAGATTTGAACCAACATTCTCTCTCCTGATCTAGTACAGAATGGGCTTGTGTTTATCTGCTCAGAGATAAACACTTTATCTTTGAGAGAAACCACTTCCTTCTCTCTCCCCTTTTGCTCAGTCACGGGATCTAGCCCATCTGTAGCCACAAGAGTGGGAGTGAGACCAGTCATACAATTCAAATTTGAATTCATCTGACCCCAAAGTTTCATTAGTACATAGTTGTGCCTCTAGGTGTGAAAACTTGGTAGCAAGTAATTAGAACAAGGTTGGACTGATAAGCTCTGTTGTTCAAAGAAATGGGAAAAGAGCTTGCTGAGCACCGTAGGTAATATAGCAGCCAGTGGACAGTCCACTTGGGGAAATCAAAGGGGCTGGTGTTCCACTATAGAACAATTTTGTGTCTTAATAGAAATATCATCCTGTATTTCCTGGCCACCTAGAATCTCATCTAGAATCTGCTGTTGTTGGAACATGCTACTTCATCTGGGGAAGATACCATGTCTGAACAACAGTTGTCGCATAAAAATTTTTTTTTAATTTTACCAATAGTTGTTTTATTATTATTAATATTATTATATTAACTTTTATTTTAAGTTCAGGAGCACATGTGCAGGTTTGTTATGTAGGTAAACTCATGTCACAGGGGTTTGTTGTACAGATTATTTCATCACCCAGCTATTAAACCTATAATCATTAATTATTTTTCCTGATCCTCTCCCTCCTCCCACCCTCCATCCTCTGATAGGCCCCAGCCAGTGTCTGTTGTCCTCCTCTACATGTCCATGTGTTCTCATCATTTAGCTCCCACTTATAAGTGAAACTATGCAGCATTTGGTTTTCTGTTCCTATGTTATTTTGCTAAGGAAAAAGGCCTCCAGCTCCATCCATGTTCCTGCAAAGAACATGATCTTGTTTCTTTTTTATGGATGCATAGTATTCCAGGCTATATGTGCACCATATTTTCTTTATCCAGTCTATCACTGATGGGCATTTAGGTTGACTCCATGTCTTTGCTATTGTAAATGGTTCTGCAATGAACAAATGCATGCATGTGTCTTTATGGTAGAACAATTTATATTATTTTGGGTATTCTAATGGGATTGCTGGGTCAAATGGTATTTCTGTCTTTAGGTCTTTGAGGAATCACTACACTGTTTTCCACAATGGTCAAACTAATTTTAAAGAACCTTCTTGGGGAGTGATTGTGCAGTTGTTAAGTGACCTCCTATAATATATTGTTGTTGAGAGGACTTTCTTTTTGGGTGCAAGTATATAATACTTAAAGAAAACCCAATATGAAAGCTTTATTAAAGAAAAAGAAAGATTAGTAAACTGGGAATTAACTATTTGCTTTTAAAACAGAAGTCTCCACAGGGCATGGGGTCTCATTCTTGTAATTCTAGCACTTTGGGAGGTTAAGGTGGGAGAATTGCTTGGGCCCAGGGTTTCAAGACCAGCCTGGGCAATATAGTGAAACCCTGTGCTAAAAAAACAAAAAAGAAAAAAAGAAAAGAAAACAGAAGTCAGTGTTTAATTCTTTTAAACCTGGGATAAAAATATTGCTTCCTGGAACATACTATTTTTCACAATAAAATTTGAGAATAACTCCCTAAAAACCAAATGAGTGATTCTGCTTCAAAGAAGATGTAGTAGATACATGTTTTCCTATTTTTTCCCTCTAAGTACAATGGAAAACTTTGGACATTATATATAAAACAAAGGTAGAAAGGCTTTAAAGGGAAGAGAAGAATGTAGATTGGCTGGGGACTTAGGGACCATGGAACAAAACAATGGTGAGTTCTCTGGGTTCCTGGGCTTTCTTTTTGCCGCAGCTATTCCAGACTTGGGAATAAGGAAGATGATAACCTAGAAATGCCAATGGGCACAGACAAAAAAAGCCACAACAAAAGACTGTTCTCTTTAGCCAAGGAACAGGAAATGAGTAGCCCAGCAAGACAGAGGACCTTTAGACCAGAACCACTCTACTCCAGTCAGACACAACAGGGAAAAACAAAACAACAACAACAAGAAAAACACTGTAGCCCCATCTCCAGTCATACCAGGAAAGGCCTAATGGGGACTCTAGATTTCTACCCTAATTAGGCCGTAATAAGGGCCGCAACACTATTTCTTACCTCCACCATTCCTCCAGGGTGGTGTCAGAAAATGCTGAATAGAAAATCAGGACTTTATTCCTGCCTGGCGAGAAGAAGTATCCACACCACAGTATCAGTGGAGACTATGTGGGAGCCTGGAGTTTTACCTCCACCCAGCAGTGAAGAGGTGCCTCTCCCTCCCTCTTTCCCCAAATAGTGTCATGTCAGAGGATGCCTAGTGCAGGGTCAGGACCTTTGTCACAGCAGTAGTGTGACTCTCCCCATGGCATCAGTGGAGGCCATGGGAGATGCGGTAATAAGGCATTCATACTCCTTCCAGCCAGGGAGGTATGAGTGGAGCCCTACTGGGGAGCTAAAACACTGACCCCCATCCAGCAGTAATGAGGAGCTTCCTTGAGTGTCCATAGAGGTTAAATGTGGAACATGAACGTCTGTCCCCACATGGCAGTAATGAGGGGTGATCCTCTTTCCCTTGCCAGAGCAATGTCAGAGGAAGCCAGTGAAAACAGAGGTTTAAATAAAATCCGGAGTCTTATAACACCACAAATGTTCAGGTTTTAATTTAAAAATCACTCGTCATACCAGGATCTCAAATGGAACAAGACAAAAACAGACAATAGATTCCCTTATCAAGATGATAGACATGTTAGAATTATCTACAATTATTTTACAGTAGCCCTCATAAAAATGCTTCAAGGGGCAATTAGTAACATACTTGGAAAAAATGTAAAACTAGAATGTCTCAGGAAAGTAATAGAAAGTCTCAGCAAAGAAATAGAAGGAATAAGTTAATAAATGGAAATTCTAGAACTGAAAAATACAATAATTGATGTAAAAACTCAGTGGATGAGCTAAACAGCAGAATAAAGAGGAAAGAGGAAATAATCAGTGAACTAGAAGAGGGAATAATAAAAATTACCCAACCTGATAGAATTTAAAAAAAAGAAACAAATTCACAATTATAGTTGAATACTGCAATATTCCTTTCTTAACAATTGATAGACTACTTAGACAAAAAATTGGCAAGGATATAGAAGAACTCAACAGAACTCAACATCATCAACCATTAGGATGGAACTGACATTTATAGTGCCCTCTACCAAACATCAGCAGAATACAAATTCTTTTCAAGTGTTTACAGAATATATCGCCAGATAAGCCATATCCTAGTGTATAAAAACAAAGCAAACAAACAAAAAAACCTCCAAAATTTAGCAAATTAAAAAGAGTTGAAATCATACTGAGTGTGTTCTCTAGCCCAAATGGAATGAAATTAAAAACAATAGAAAGTTACAGAAAATTCTCCAAACACTTGAAAACTAAATAACAAGCTTTTAAATAAACTTGGTTATTTAGAAAGAGGATCAAAAAGGACGGCTCAAGAGAATTTTTAAAAAACTGTTCACCTACCTGAATGAAAATGAAAATAAAAAGTATCAAAATTTGTGGGACACAGCCAAAGCAGTACTGAGAGGGAAATTTATAGCACTAAAAGCATACATTAGAAAAGAGAAATGTCCTCAAATCAGTCATCTAAACTCACATCTCAATAAAAAAGAACAAAAATAAATACAATGCAAGCAGAAAGAAGGAAATAATAAAGAGCATAAATTAATGAAGAGGAAAACAGAAAACAATAGAGAAAATCACTGAAACAGTTTGTTCTTTGAAAAGATCAATAAAATAGACAAACTTCTAGTAGAACTGATAAAGAAAAAAATAGAGAAGACACAAATGACTGGTATCAGGGATGAAACAAGAGAAATCTTTATAAAACCTGCAGACTTAAAAAGACAATAAGGGGCCAGGTACGGTGGCTCACGCCTGTAATCCCAGCGCTTTGGGAGGCCGAGGCAGGCAGATCACAAGGTCAGGAGATCAAGATCATCCTGGCTAACATGATGAAACCCCATCTCTACTAAAAATACAAAAAATGAGCTGGGTGTGGTGGCAGGCGCCTGTAGTCCCAGCTACTCGGGAGGCTGAGGCAGGAGAATGGCGTGAACCCGGGAGGCAGAGCTTGCAGTGAGCTAAGATCACGCCACTGCATTCCTGCCTGGGCAACAGTGCAAGACTCCATCTCAAAATAAATAAATAAATAAGACAATAAGGAAATACTATGAACAAATCTACATATATAAATTGAACAACTTCAATGAAATGGACCAAATTCTCAAAAAACACAAACTACCACAACTATCCAATATGAAATGGATAATTTAATAGCACTATAAATATTAAGGAAATTGAATTAGTAATTAAAATAAAAACTGTTCCTCTCAAAGAAATTTTCACACATTGATGATGATTTCACTGAAGAACCCTAACAAACATTTGAAAAAGAATAACAATAGCTTCCATAAAATAGAAAAAGTGAGGTGGGAGGACACATTCTAATTCATTTTCTGAAGCTAGTGTTACCCTGATCCAAAACAAGAGAAAGACAGCTCAAACAAAGAAGCTGCAGACCAATATCTCTCATATATATAAATACAAAAACCCTTACCAAAATATTGGCAAATAGAATTCACAGTATGTAAAAAGAATTATAGATTAGACCACATGGGATTTATTCCACAGATGCAAAGCTGTTTCAGTATTTGAAAATCTATGTAGTCTATCATATTAACAGGTTAAAAAGGAAAAATCACGTGATCATATTAAAATCATGCAGAAAAAGTATTTGATAAAATTTAATACCCATTCATGATGCTGTCAGAAAAATACAAAGAGAGGGAAACTTCTTCAACTTGATAAAGAGTAGCTACAAAATACCTGCAGCTTCCATTGTACTTAATAGTGAAAGACTGAATGCTTTACCCCTAAGATTGGGAAAGAGGCAAGGATGTCCACCCTTATTCAACATCATCTTTAGTCAACATTGTACTGTAAGTTCTAGTGAGTGCATTAAGGCAAAAACAAACAAACAAAAAAACCCCAAAAAACAGAAATAGAAGGCCTATGTATTGGAAAGGAAGAAGTAAAATCGTCCTTATGACATGAATGTATATGTAGAAAATGCGAGGGAATCTACAAAAACTTCCTAGAACTGAAAGATGAGTTCAACAAGGTTACAGGATACAGGATAAACATAGAAAGGCCATTTTGGCTGGGCATGGTGGCTCACACATGTAATCCCAGCACTCTGGGAGGCCAAGGTGGGCAGAAGGCTTTGAGCTCAGGAGTTTGAGACCAGCCTGGGCAATATAGTGAAATCCCATCTCTACAAAAATAGCCAGGTGTGGCTGCAAGCGTCTGTGGTCCCAGCTACTCTGGAGACTGAGTGGGAGGATCACTTGAGCCTAGGAGGTAGAGGTTGCAGAGGTTTCAGTGAGCTGAAATTGTGCCACTGCGACTCCAGCCTGGGTGAGATCGAGACCTTGTCTCAAAAAAAAAAAAGAAGGTAAGAAAAGAAAAAGAAAAGACAATTTTATCTCTACAAACTAGCAATGGGCATGTGGATATAAAATGTAACTATACAATATCATTTACAATTGCTAAAAAGAAGTAAAGTACTTAGGTATAAATCCAACAAAATGTTTGCAAGAAGTATATGCTGAGAACTACAAAAGCCTGGTGAAAGAAATTAAAGAAGACTTAAATAAATGGACAGACATATATTGTGTTCATGCATCAGAAAACTTAACATGGTAAAGATGTCTGTTATCCTCAAATTGACATACAGGTTTAACCCAATTCCTATCAAAGACCCTGCAAGATATATTATAAATACAGACAAGATTATTTTACAATTTATATGAAAAGGCAACATAACTAATTAAAGTAATTTTTAAAAAGAAAATAAGGTGGCAGCGATCATTCTACTCCAATTCAAGACTATTTATCTGGCTATAGTAATCAAAACTGTATGACACGGTTGAGGGACAGACACACAGATCAAAGAAACAGAACCCATAAGTAGACCTAAACAGATGCACCAACTGATTTTTGACAAAGGTGCAAAAGCAATACAATGGAGGAAGGATAGTCTTTTCAAAAAGCAGAAACAGACACTTATAAGCATAAACAAAACAAAACAAAACAAAACAAAAAAAAACAACCTCAACTTCAGTCTCATAGTTTATACAATAATTAACTGAAAATGGATTATGGATTTAAATATAAAACATAAAACTATAAAACATATAGAAAAAAACAGAAGA
This sequence comes from Homo sapiens, assembly GCF_000001405.40. Lineage (NCBI taxonomy): Eukaryota > Metazoa > Chordata > Mammalia > Primates > Hominidae > Homo > Homo sapiens. The sequence continues at coordinate 35,073,433 of NC_000011.10, forward strand.
GAAAGTATCTGGGATCTAAAACTAGGCAAAGAATTCCAAAAGCATGATCTATTAAAGAAAACATTTAAAAACTGGACTATATCAACAATTTAAAAACATTTTGTGAAAAACTTTGTTAAGAGGATAAAAAGACAAGCTACAGACTGGGAGAAAATATTTGCAAATTATATAGTTATGATATCTGGATCCAAAATATATAAAGAATTCTCAAAACTGAAAACAAAAAAACCTAATTTAAAAAATTTTATATTTGGGAAGACATTTCACCAAAGAATACATCAGAGTCAAATATGCACATGGAAAAGTTCTTAACACCATTAGTCACTGGGGCAATGCAAATTACATAATGAAATGTAATAATGAAATTGTATTAGTCTGTTCTCATATTGCTATAGGGAAATACCCCAGACTGGGTAATTTATAAAGGAAAGAGGTTTAATTGACTTACAGCTCTGACTGGTTGGGGAGGCCTCAGGAAACTTACCATCATGTTGGAAGGCAAAGGGAAAGTAAGCTTGGACCTTCTCACATGGCAGCAGGAGAGAGAAGAGTGAGTAAGAGAGGAACTGTCAAACACTTATGAAATCATCAGATCTCGTGAGAACTCACTCACTATCATGAGAACAGCATGAGAGGGACCACCCCCATGACCCAATCACCTCCCACCAGATCTCTCCCTCAACACCTGGGGGATTACAATTCAAGATAAAATTTGGGTGGGGACACAAAGCCTAACTACATCAGAAATACCTAATATGGGCACATATTGGAATGGCAAAAATTTAAAAAGACTGACCATACCAAATGTTAATGAGGATGTAGGAGAGCTGGGATTCTCATATATGGAACTCTCAGATATGGCTGGAGGGAGTGTAAAGTAGTACAAACACTTTGGAAAACAGTTCAGCTGTGTCTTAGAAAGTTAAACACATAGCTAACATACGACCCAGTCATTCTATTCTTAGGTATTTACCTAAGATAAATGAAAGCATACAACCATATAAAGACTTATTTATGAATGTTCATAGCAGTTTTATTTCTAATAGCCCCAAACTGGAAACAACCCAAAAGCCCATCAGCAGATGAATGCACAAACTGTATTTAAAACAGTTATCAAACAAATTGGAATATTACTCATCAATAAAAAGGAATGAATGATTGATGCACACGTTAATATGGAGAAAATAGTTTTGCTGAATGAAAGAAGCCAGACAAGAAAGAGTACATAGTGTGGGATTCCAGTTATATAAAATTCTAGAAAATGTAAACTAATCTATAGTGACAGCAGATCAGTGGTTACATGGGGATGGGGTAGGGAACGGATGGGAAGACATGAGAGGGAGGGATTACTAAGGGGAATAAGGAAACTTTTAGGGTATATGGATATGTTCATTATCTTGAAGGTAGTGATTGTTTCATGGGTTTATACTTATGTCAGAATTTATCAGATTGTATGCTCTAAATATGTGCAGTCTATTGTATAATGATTATCCCAAATACACCTGTTAAAAAGTGTGTTAATAAAGTTTTGACCATTGATCACAATTATTACATAGCCATTTACCTCAATTCACCAGTATTTGCGGAGCACTGGTGTAATGCAATTAGCTATAATCAAACCACAAAATGGCAGTAATGTAAATATCTGATGGTTTTAGATTTTTTCCAAACTCATCATAATTAAATTGTAATAGTTGACTGGTTTGAAGGAGTTCAGATGACTCAAAACAGATTCTTCCTAGGAAGGTATAGAGAGTTTCAATTTACAGATATAATGGTTATTGAAAATCTGTTATAATGTAAGAAAATAAATTAAAAACATATTTTTTAAAATGAGGGAAGGACATCTCCAAAATTAAAAAATGAGCTCTCTGTATTTAAAATAGGATTTGGCTTACAAAGCCTTCAATTGCACTTAACTTTTGTGAGAAATATTTATCCCTTAAAAGGATGTGTAGTCAAAGTGGTCACACTGACCCAGAACAGTAGCCAATCAACATTATTTTTATAGATTTGTGTGGACTTGGTTTCAAAATTGTTGTTTTTTCCTAATTTAAAATTTTATTTTTGAAATTCATTCATTGGGTTCCAAAGTCCTGCCCTTGTGAATAAATGGATGTATTCATACACATATTTGGTTGTTTATAAAATCTGCTTTGCATTTTCACACCATTGCAATGTTGTTCTAAGGTCATAGAATTACTTTTAAGAACAACATTAATACAATTCATAATGTTGATTTTTCTTCATGCTAAAGTGCTTTACATGTATCCCTATAGCCGTGTACTAGCTGCCTTTGCCTGGTTACGGCAAAGTATATATATATATATATATATTTTTTTATTATACTTTAAGTTCTAGGGTACATGTGCACAACATGCAGGTTTGTTACATATGTATACATGTGCCATGTTGATGTGCTGCACCCATTAACTCATCATTTACATCAGGTATATCTCCTAATGCTATCCCTCCCCCCTCCCCCCACCCCACAACAGGCCCTGGTGTGTGATATTCTCCTTCCTGTGTCCAGGTGTTCTCATTGTTCAATTCCCATCTATGAGTGAGAACATGCATTGTTTGGTTTTTTGTCCTACTGCAAGGTATTTTTAATCATTTGAGAGAGAAGGGTTTTTCTTTAAATCCATAGCTATTATAAGGCAAACCATTCTCAGCACTGGTGGGTAGTTTCATGGACTTATTATGCAAAGGAAATCATATCAGCAGTGATGAGCAGTTGAAGATTTCTCAGGTAGAAGTACAAAGATGAGACAGAGTCAGTCCAAAGCATTGGCAACTAAGTCTCAAAGTAAGGTAGCATTTGTGGAAATAAAGGGGGTAGTGGATCCTAGCTATAGTGTGGAAACAAGTAGAAGTTGGCTTATTGAGTGTGCTCATCAGCAAGTCATGCAGGGACCTCAGAAGCTGGTAGAGGGAAGAGAAGAAAGCTTGGAACTGCCAAGCCCAAGATGAGGGTGCCAAGGCTGTAAAATAGGACTGGTCTCTGATGGAGTCATAGAGAGGCCATCAGCATCACATTAAGTAAACAATACGTGGCTCCTTGAGCTAATAGGCCAGCATCTATAACTAAGTGGAAACTTTTTGGCAAGAAAGGCAAGATCCCAGGCTCTTCTAGAACAGAGGTTAACAAACTTTGGCCTTTGGGCCAAACATAGCCCGTGACCTGTCACAGCTTTACTTGTTGATAAATAATGCTGTACAGAAGCACATGTCTGTTCACATGTTACAATGACAGAATTGAGGAGTTGTGACAGATACTGCAGGGTTTGCAAAGCCAAAAATATACTCTATCTAGCCCTTTGCAGAAAATGTTTGGCAACCTCTGTCCTAGAAGATGGTGAGGCTTGGAGGCAGTATTGTGTTTCCAAGTGATATGTTTATCATGGACTGAGGGAAACCACTGAAAAGAAGGAAATGGCAAGGTTTAGGCAGGATGTCAAGACCGTATCTGAATAGTCTAGAGTCCAAGACCCCAGGTGTAGGCAGAAACCAAAGCAAAAGATCTCTCCTATTGATTGGACAAACATGGGGAGGATTAAGGCAAGAATGAGGCTCATTAGGCTTGTGAAATCCAAGCGCACCTTATAATAGATATAGACAATTCCAAAGCAAGGACAGCAAGTCCAGTTTCAATGATTGGCTGATGGGTTTCAGCCAATGGTCAGTTTGAAATGCTCAGTGCTGAGTGGGGCTGGGAAGGCAGAGACTGCCCCGGGAGTAAGGAACTATTAAGTCCAAATAACCTGGATCTTTCTGCTAGACAATAAGAGGATGGCGCTATCCTCTCTACTTCCTGTTCAATATAGTAGCTCATCACACTCATCAACAAAAGGAATGCAATGGAAATTAAAATATCTCCCAGATATGGTTGTCAGATTTAGCAAATAAAAATACAGAACACCTAGTTAAATTTGAATTTCAGATACACAAAGAAAAAAATTTAATGTAAGTTTGTCTGAAATATTGCATTGGACATAATTATACTAAAATTATTTATTATTTGAAATTCTAATTTCAGTGAGAGTCCCGCATTTTGTCTGGCAACACAATTCCCCGGAAACTGGCCACCTTTGTGATAAATTATGATTAACAAAACAATGTTTTAACTTCTGGGGCAGTAAGAAATTTCTAGACCTCTGGTCCTTTTTGTTTCTCCCTCTGTCTACATACTTCCTTTCCCACCTCCTTTTATCTCCTCTCTATCACTTCCATTTCAAGGCTTGTCCAGGAGGGAGGACCAGTCACATCTGTCAATACTTCCAAGAATTATCATATGGCTTTAACTCTCATTGATTAAACCAGAGAAAGGCTGGAAACAGAGAAAGAAGAAGTCAACCTTCTTAAAGTGACTCACAGGAAGGAAACCTGGTGGACGGACAGTTTGACGATTGGTTTCTGACTCACTGGAGATTTCTTTGCTAGAGATATGCATCATTAATTTGGTATCAACAAACCATTGACATTTCCCGGGCAGTACACAGAATGCTGTCGTGGTAAAAACAGGTTTAGATTAACTGCTGGGCACTTCCTGGTTCCAAACATTAAATTAAAATGGAGATTTTTGGGTTTCATGGAAATCTCTGAGATAAAAAGCAGAAGACTCTGTGAGAACCACGCTCACAGTTTTCAGGCATCACCCCAGCACTATATTCTGTGAAGATGTTCTTGGGAAAGGTTCAAGAGAAGTCAAATCTGTGTAACTTGCTGTATGCTGTGGTCACAGTGGATAAACCTCACCTGCAGTGAAGAGGATGTGGGCAAAGATTATGCTCAGTGATGACTTTAGAAGCTTGGGCAATATGTAAAAAACACTTACAAAACATTAAACTGATGGGATTTTCATTATTCTTCCCTACCAATCATTCTCTAGTGACCTTTCCACCACTGTGACAGTATTGGAGGCACCCATGAGGATCTCCCTCTGAGAAAGAACTTGCTGTTCAGCTGCAAGGAGTGCAGTTAGTTTGCAGCCCCCAGCTGTTTGCACCTTAGCATTGTCTCATCTTTGAAGCTCAGGCCATCCTCTTCTTGGGCAGCCCCCAGAGAAGGGCTGAGCACAGAGGGGTTGCTATGGCTTGGCCATTTCTTTCAACATGGGGCTCCTCAAATGAGCAATATTTGTTTTCGAAATGCCCATGAAGTGAGCCAAAACTTTGTCAGGTCTGCACTGAGCTCTGAGGCTCATGCAGTCCAATCCTGTTTCCTCCCCATTTTGTCTTCATTTCCCAATGCAATTGATTCAATGATTGTGTCCCCTAAAATTCATATGTGGAAATCCTAACCTCCAAGGTGATGGTATGAGCAGGTGGGGACTTTGGGTGACAATTAGGTCATGAGTGTACAGCCCTCGTGAATGGGATCAGTGCCTTTATAAAAAAGAACCCCAGAGAGCTCTCTCACTCTTTCCACCATGGGAGGATACAATGAGAAGTTGGAATCTGCAACCCAGAAGAGGGCCCTGACCATAACCCAACCATGTTGGCACCCTGATCTTAGACTTCCACCTCCAGAACTGTGAAAAATAAACTTCTGTTGTTTCAGCCACCCAGTCTGTGATACTTTGTTACAGCAGCCAGAACTAACACACCCAAGAAACCTCTTGCTTTCCTAATTCTGCCTTCTTGGCCACTTCCCTGAGAGCACATCTGACACACTATCATGGCTTCAAGGAAGCAGGCAGAATGGGTGCCATTTTAACAAAAGAAAATAAATTTTATGGGGAAAGTTCTTACCAGAAAGGAAGGGGACAAAAGGTTAAGTTCAGTCCTTCCTGCCCAAGAGAGATTGTGAATGAGAAAGAAATAGAGGCAGAGTGTGACCTTCAAATATTAGGGTCTTGCCTCCACTCTTCCTTGGGGTCAAGCCTTGTTGGGGGCGGGCTATAGAAGCATTTAGAAAGGTATTAGGAACCTAAGAACATTGGGCAAGTGACATACTTTCCCACACATGGCCTGGAGGAGGCTGAAAGCACCTAGGAGAAGCCTCGTATTTGTCTTGGCACCATGTCTAACATGGCTTGAATGAGATAGTGCAGCATTAGCAGACAGAGGAACCTTCATAGACAGCAATGTGATGTTTCCCTATGTTTCTACAGGCCCCGGTAAAGGTCAGGGAAATTCAAGGGAGATTGCTGAAAATGTAGAGGCCTGAGGTTGGGAAGTGGAAGCCACTGAGATCAAGGACTTTGATTTCTAGGGACAATGACATTGTCAGTGTTCCACAGCTATGAATGCCATTGCATGCCAATGGAGGGCCTAAACCAGGATCACCTCAGGGGAACTAGCATAGGACCTGATTCCCACATGCATAGTCACATGGTAATGCCACTCCCACCAACCACAGAAACAGGTGCTAACGTTGGGGAACTTAAGGATGCTGGAAGAGACCAAGAGTCCCTGATTGTGTAAGTCTGGTCTTTTCCTCGTTTCTCCACAGGGTTAAGGGCGCACAGGGAAGATTTGATCAGTTACAGAAAACAAAGAAGCTGCATATTTTCGCACAGCTGAGAGTGTGTAAATCAATTAGTGACCCCACTGCATTTGAATAAAACAGCTTACATTTTGAATTTTAGTCCAAGCTATACAGTTAAGAGGGTCAAACTTAGGGTCTCTTAAGTCACATCTGAATAACAGCCACCTGAAGGGAACCTCCATGGGCAGACAAACTTATAGTCTCTCTGTGTGGTGAACGTTTGGCCTTTCTCTAGACCACATTTTCCAAGCAGTGGGAAATGAACTACTGGTGATAACCAAGATGATTTTAGGGGGTGTGTGGACACCATTAATTAACACTGAATACGCCCAAAGTATTTCCAGTTTCTATAAGTCCTGATGACATAAGAGAAAGTTTTTGTGGCACTCTGGTCTTCAACCTCTCTAAAACCTTCCAATTCCTGTCCTTCTCCTAGCATTTTGTTTTTCGGAGACAGGGTCTAGCTCTGTCACCCAGGTTGGAGTGTGGTGGCACCATCAGGGCTCACAGCAGCCTCAACTTCCCAGGCTCAAGTGATCCTCCCACCTCAGCCCCCTGAGTAGCTGGGACTACAGGCATGTGCCACCATGCCCAGCTAATTTTTTTTTGAATTTTAGTAGAGATGAGGTGTTACTATGTTGCCCAAGCTGGTCTCAAACTCCTGAGCTTAAGCGATCCTCCCACCTTGGCCTCCCAAAGAGTCAAGGAGTGATTAAAGGTGTGAGCTACAGTGAGCCACCGTGCCCAGCTCCAATTCCCCTTTTTGACAGTGAGATCAGACTTCAGAGATTCAGTAGCACCCCCCATCCCAATGCTGCCTCTATTCTCCATGCAGCAGCCAAAGTGACCCTCAAAGAGACGTCAAATCGTGTCCATTCTTCACTTAAGAAACTCTCATGGCTCCTCATTTAACTCAGAGGAAAAGCCCAGTGGCCCTCACGGCCCTCCCTGACCTGGCACTTCACACTCCAGCCTCCCCGCTTCCCACCCCCTCACTTACTGCTTCAGCCTCAGTGGACTCTTGATTGGTCTCAGAATGTTCTTTCCCCAGACACCATGACAGCTCACATCCTCTTCTGTCAAGACTTAACCCAGATGCCACCTTCAATGTGGGGGCTCCCCAGGTTATCCTGTCTTGGATTGCAAACCCTCTTCCACTCTATCTCTTGCTCTGCTTCATGTATATGTGTGTGGGCATAATATCGTTTACTTACTTGTATTTTTGTTGTTTAAATAAATGTGTGACTTTTCGTATGTTTATTGCGGCACTATTCACAATAGCAAAGACTTGGAACCAACCCAAATGTCCATCAATGATAGACTGGATTAAGAAAATGTGGCACATATACACCATGGAATACTATGCAGCCATAAAAAGGATTAGTTCATGTCCTTTGTAGGGACATGGATGAAGCTGGAAACCATCATTCTCAGCAAACTATCACAAGGACAAAAATCCAAACACTGCATGTTCTCACTCATAGGTGGGAGTTGAACAATGAGAACACTTGGACACAGGAAGGGGAACATCACACACTGGGGCCTGTTGTGGGGTGCGGGGCGGAGGGAGGGATAGCATTAGGAGATATACCTAATGTAAATGACGAGTTAATGGGTGCAGCACACCAACATGGTACATGTATACATATGTAACAAACCTGCACATTGTGCACATGTACCCTAGAACTTAAAGTATAATAATAAAAAATAAACAAATAAATAAATGTGTGACTTTTATTGCCTGCCTCTGCCACTAGAATGGAGGCTCCATGAGGTCAGGAGCCTGTTGTCTTCATTGCTGTCCCCTCAATCTTTAAAGCAGAGCTCGGTACTTAGTGGTTACTCACATCATATTGACTAATTAAACAAATGAATGTTCCCAGCTCCCACCAGCCCCTCCTACCTGTTATGGTCAATATCATGTCTTCTCTCCCTCAAGGCTCCCTTTTCACCTCCTCCTTTTCCTGGCAAAGCAAACACAACAAACAAAAATCTGCAAGATGCTGGGAGGCCAAGGCAGGTGGATCACTTGAGGTCAGGAGTTCAAGACCATTCTGGCCAACATGGTGAAACCCTGTCTCTACTAAAAATACAAAAATTAGCCAGGTGTGGTGGTGCGCGCCTGTGATCCCAGCTACTCGGGAGGCTGAGGCAGGAGAATCACTTGAACCTGGGAGGTGGAGCTTGCAGTGAGCCAAGATTCCACCACTGCACTCCAGCCTGGGTGACACAGTGAGCCTCCACCTCAAAAAAAAAAAAAATAAAAATAAAAGCAAAACAGAAAAACCTGCAAGATGCCATAGTGCTCCCTTCTCAACTTCATGGAAATTCTGAAATATATATGGGATTCATTTTTCCTTCCAGATGTGCGATTTGGAGGGTGGAGTGTCAAAGGAAGAGAACTGGGGGAATTCTTGACCTGGCTGGGCTCTTCTTTGGCCCCAGCTCCCCGTTCATCCTTCACCTCCCTCCCATCCTGGCTGCTCACATTCCTATGTGGTGAGTTCTGCTCCTCAGCAGTGGAGCAGGGGCTGGACTGGGCAGGGGAGAGTCGCAGGCTCCATGTGTCCAGCCTGCCCTGGTGGACTGATGGTGTTGCCCAGGAAAGGCGTGCGAGGCCACGGCTTCTGACAGCCGCAATCTGGAGTTGCTGTTAGGTCTGATTGAATGATTGACACACCACAAGCAGAAATCTAGAACTCCAGAACGGGTCTGGTGGAAGGAGCCAACTCTGTTTGCAGTTTCCTCTTCTCACCACAGCACAGTGTCGGGTTACCACGGAGATAGGGAGGAACCTTCTGAGACCTCTCCAATGGTGGGTGGCAGCCACAGTCAGCCAGGGAGGACTACACCCAATCCTTGGCTCCGCCCCTCCTCCCACACCCCAAAAGAAGCCACACAGCTAGCCAGAGAGGGGCTGCCTCTGGAATGCACACCAGGGCTTGTCCACACACACTCCCCGGCCCTCTGCGCCTCTTTAGGGAGGTTCCTGCTGCTGGATCTGCTGCCTTCTTCACCTTGAGAGTGCATTTATGTAACAAGAAAACACCTGGGTGTTTTCACAGGTAGGAAGAGATTGGCGGCTGAGCTGTTCTCTCATTTGGATGCAAGGCTGTGAGATGGGGCCTCTGTTGGCCTAGAGGTCCCGAGAAATTGGGAGGAGAGGTGCCAGTAGCAAGCCCCAAGGTCGGGGTTCCTCCTCTAACCTCTCTGTGGGGTGGAGGCATCCACACCAAACCTTAAGAGGGAGCAATGGGTCTAACTGCTAATTCTGAAGGTGAGCAGGCCCGTTTCCACATGCCAATGTCAAAATCCAACCACAGTTTGACAAGCCTTTGGGAACATCCAGTAATTACATAATAGCACTCCCAAACATGACAAGTGCTTTCATCTTTACAAAGACTGTCGTGTTTGTTCTCACTCTCCTCCCCATATGAGTTGCTTCTCTTTCTTTCCCCTATTTTGCAGATAAGAAGGTGGAGGCTCAGGAAGGTAGAGTGACTTTCTACTACTAAAGAACTAGCAGGAAAGTATTTCAAATTCAAGTCTCATGACCCTAAATGCAGGGTATTTCCCAGTGGCTCATGGTAAATGAGTTCCTTAAAAATGAGCCACGCTGAGGCCTGAAACTACAGGGCTTACTGATGTGGCTGCAAGCTGCAGCTCTAAGCCAGAAAGGGGACAAGCTAAGGAGAAGAGGAACCACCTTTGCACTGGCGGACTTCAGCGTGTCTCACGCATGCCGAATGTTTACATGTGTTCCCCACTTGGTATCCATAGCAACTGGCAGAGGTGCAAAAATGCTTCATTGGTATTTGTAAGAGGATGAGAAGAAAGCCCTCCAAGATCCTCTTTCTCCCAGTGGGCAGGGCTATTTCCATCCATGGCTTCGTGACTTCTCCCAGCAGCCGTTTGGCATGAGGATTTCAAACAGCAGGGAGCCAGTGAGTCCACCGGATAGGTATTTGAAATGTACTGAATGGAAAGCCCTCATCTCCTGCTCCCTCTTCCAGGCAATTATTCATGGAGTCAGGAGAGGATTCTGTTATTCAAGGAGTCTCCATAGTAAGGGGCTGAGAGATTGTGGTTTCTAGTCTTTAACCACAACATTTAAGGCGTGGCTCCATTTTTCTTATAATTTCCAAGTGTACATCATTACCTAATTCTCCCTGAAGAATCGAAATTGCTTTATGATGCATATGTATTAGTGATGTGAGCTGAGGTTCGGAGCCAGCAAACATCTTTCTCAGAAACCTCCCTCTTGTTCTCCTCTCCCATGTTGCCCCTTGAAGTTACTCCTTCTACCAGAGATGCTCAAAGGTTCTTGGTCAGAAAGTCTATATTGCAGCAATTAAAACTGGGGTTCAACTCAACATATGTGTAGCAGAATATTTTATCTCTCAGCATCTCAATTTGTGACTTAAATGATTCATGAGATGTTTGTTAGTGCATTATGGTCAAAAGCACCTTTCTAAGTGCTTTGAGAGAAACAAGAATAAAAGCATTCCTAACCACACCCTGCCCCCTGCAATCCCACCAAGGATCTTACAAAACCCATTTGGCTAAGCTCTTATATAGCATTGAACCAATCACTGCACACTCAGCATGTGACCAACACATATATTGAAGCCCACGTGAAAAACTGAGCACCTATTCAAGTTTCCCAGGCAGGGCTAGATTCATGGGCAGGTAACCAGTGCAGTTGCACAGGGACCTCTGCTCAGAAGGCCTTGCTTGGGGTTTAATGCACAATTCTTAATTTATCTTTCAATGTGTATTTTGTAAGAGGAGTCTCATGGGACAAAGGAGCTCACTCGTGGTCCTGCCTCCTACCCACCCTCTGTTTGGGCCCTTAGTGTCCCAGGCTCCACTCTACCTACTCCCCACCCTCTGCTCCACAACACTTGCTACCCTTCCCTCAGGGTGACTACTAGGTCAGGTTGGCAGACAGGGAGGCAACATTCTGCCCACACCCTCTGCAGGGGCCTGGGAGCAGTTGTGGGGAGAGGCTCTGCTGGGTATGCACACCATGGCATCCTGGGAAAGAGCATGGCGGTGTTGTCCCTACCCTGGGCTGACAGCACGGTGGTATATTTGGAAGGCAACTGGATGGGGCCTTCTCACCCACTCCTATCCAGGTTACAGGTGTGTCCTGGTGTGGAGGTTGCAATCCCTTGGTAGGGGCACTGTAGATAGACTGAGGAGAGACAGGCTGTGGGAAGGAGAAACTAACTTATCTGCCATGGCTAGGCCTCATTTTCACTTTGCACTTAGGTCCCACCATTATGTAGCCAGCTCTGGTCCTGGACCAAATGGCCTCTAGTGACTCCCTCTTTCCAATCTAAGCAGGTCTTGCACAACTGTCATGAATGAAGCCAATTCTGATTTCCTATCAGTTCAATTTTTTAAAAATTGCATTCTGTTCCTCAGAATCCATTCCAACCATAAAAACATGAAAAATTGATTTTGATCTCAGTATAACATCACCTCATAAATATATTTTATATAATCACGATCTTTAGAACTTGCTCTCTGTATAAAATGGGTTTCACACCTCAGCTCTTAAAGGCACTTGTTTATTATGGAAAATCAAGCATAATGTAAAATTTACATCTTAAGTGTGGCTTATGAGAGATTTTCCTGCAGAGACAGGACTGACTGAAGCTTTGTTCTTTAAACTTGGGCAAACATTTTACATGTTGAAAAGTATCATTTTGATGATGATTTCTTTTCAACACTTTTCCAGCTTTCGAAGGAAGAATTACAAATAACAAGGCATGACACTTCCCCCAAAGGTATATTTTTAGCAATTTAATACCTGGTAAATTTTTCTTTCTTTTTGCTCAACAGCTAGGCGACTGCATAGGAGGTTGGCCCAAGCCAACACACATTCATTGGACATCTGCCATGATGTGAGCCAAACCCTGGGCCCCAGGAAGTGTGGAAAATATACAGATAAATTAGAAGGTCCCTGCCCTTAAAAAGCATCTAAGACCCTTAGTTGCTGAATAGACATAAATCTGTAGCTGCTGAAGGAGATGGCCAAGAGCTAGAAGGAGGCTGGCAGGCACTGCTTAGTGCCTTACTCCTCTCTGAGCACCATATTGTCAGCAGAAGAGGCCGCTTGGCCCAGGCTGACTGTGGACAGGTCTTGATAACTTGAGGTCCACTGGGAGTTGCTGTCTGCAGCCTGACACATAGAACGCCTTGCTTTTTGTTCTCTGTCTGTTATAGAAGTTGCTTTTGGAAAAGCACCATTTCTTGGGTCAGCATGAAGATTACCCTTGTGGTAGATGCTGGAAATATTAACTATTATTAACAAATATTACTTAGGGCTTGCTATAGGTGAGGCACCGTACTGGATTCTAAGCCTCTGGTCCCTGCTCTCAGGGCATCATGGTAAGTTGGAAAAGATATGTAAGCAAATGACTAAAGTGTGTATGGAACTTGGCACTGGGGAAGTGACAGTCAAAAGTCAGTTAAATCTCAGCTGTGACTTCAGCTGGCATAGTGACTTTGATCAATGCCTGCAAATTCTCTGGGCTCTGGTTTCTTTATTTGTAAAATGGATGTGTGGCTGAGGAGAAAGAACTTGTCTATCTGGTCTCCAAGTTGACTTTTCTGTTAAAATTCCCTGACTCTTTGAGCCTCCTAGAAATAATCAGCCCCCGATAGGCAAGCTTCCCTTTGACCTGTTTATTAGTTTTCTAGGGCTGCCATAGAAAGTACGGCAAACAGGGCACCTGTAGTCCCAGCGAGGCTGAGGCAGGAGAATGGCGTGAACCCGGGAGGCGGAGCTTGCACTGAGCCGAGATCGCGCCACTGCACTCCAGCCTGGGCGACAGAGCAAGACTCCGTCTCAAAAAAAAAAAGAAAGTACAGCAAACAGAGTGACGTAAACAACAGAAATTTATTGTCTCATGGTTCTGGAGTCTACAAGTTGGACATCTAAGTATCTGCAGGTTGGTTCCTTCTAAGGGCTGTGAGGGAGAATCTGCTCCATGACTCTTCCCTGGCTTCTGGTTTGCTGGAGATTTTTTACATTCCTTGGCTTATAGATCCCTGTCTTCGTGTTCATATGATGTTCTCCTCTGTGTATCTGTGCCCAAATTTCCCCTTTTCATAGGGATACCAACCATATTAGACTACAGGCCCACCCTACATCATTATAAATTCGTCTTAACTAATCACACTTGCAAAGACCCTATTTCCAAATAAGGCCATGTTCTGGTGTATTGGCAGTAGGACTTCAACTTATGAATTTTGGGGGGACACAATTCAACCCATAACAACTAGGTTTATTCATTTCTACCTTAGAATCTTTGGTCCAGTCTGACCCAAGATGGTAAATAGTTTTCATTTCAGTTGCTAAATCTTATCAATTAAAGTCATTACCTGGAGTGTTGTGTGAAGACATGTGAGTTGACATCTTTTTCCCTTTAGTGGGAAAGGCAACCGGAATTGGTTCAGCCCACCTGAGAAACAGGAGATTTAAAAAATCCTACTGTCTATCTTTGAACCAAGGACCCCACCCAAAAGGGAGAAACCTACAAAGAACTACTTTTTTTGGAGCTCTCCAATTGAAATGGTTCCCAAAAGGTGATTGCCAATTTGCAATCTTGCTACAGACAATCACACTAGCAGGGCCATCAAGCCCATCCCATGAGAATGATCAAATCTCCAATAAGACTCAGCTGTTCCATGGGGGAGTGAGGGGAATGAAGCATTCAGAAAGATAAAATCATCTGGGTTTTCTGAATGTTTTCCCTGCTGAGGTTGAGGCTGAGAACTTGCATTGGCTGAAGACTTGCAGCTGGAACCAGATAGGAAGTAAGCTTCTGGAAGCACTAAAATGAATTGTCACTCCCACTCTCGATACCCACAGCTTCAAAACCACCAGATGCTGACAGCTGCTGTGGAAATCTAAGCAAGTGGAGGGATATCCAGATTGAGCTGGCCAAGTTTGGTACAAGAGCTAAGAGTCTGGGAACAATGGGAGGTCAGCTTTCTGTGTCACTGTGGATACAAAGGAAGTACTTTTGAGACACAGACAGGAAGTGACTGAGGACTTTAAGGGCAGCTTGGGCTATCCAGGAAAGTTCTTCATTCTTGTTTTTTTCTGCTGAGGCTCTAGAGGGACACCTGTCAGACTGACCAAGGCCGAAGATGGCTCCCTACCAGAGAGATTCAACTGAGGGCTTGCGATAGGTCTTGTGACATTGCTATTGATCTTGAGACATTCATCTGAAGCATGATTGTCACTGGCTTCAAACTTTCCTCATCATAAGAGAGGGACTGGGTCTACTTCAAATGTTTCGCACTAATGAAGTTAACATTCCCTTTCATGGTGAGGTAAGTTGATTGCATTAACAGCCCCAGTTTTTCATTCTCCCCTGAGGCCACCCATTTGGTAGTACCCTCCCACACTGATTCTTGGTTTAGTCATGTAACTTGCTTTAACCTCCAACAGAAGCTTGAAAAACACTTGTTCATTTCTGCTTGCCCTCCTTAAGCTCTGCCCTCATCATGAGACCATGCCCAGGCTAGTCTGCTGGAAGGAAGTCAGAGGCACACGGAAGAGAGCCACATTCAGCCAAGGCCATTCTAGACCAGTTGTTCCCTGTCACTTCACTAATTGGCCACAGCACAAGGTAAGTACAGCCAAGATCAGCAGAATCACCCAGCTGACCTGTTGAATTATGAGAAATAAGGAATGGTTGTTGTTTTAAGTCACTAAATTTTGCAGTGGTTTGTTACTTAGCAATAACTAGTAAAAATGGTCTTCTTCATGTAAGGGTAAAGAGGGAGGGTTCATAGATTGGGCTTAAACTGTGTTCACTGTTGACATTCAATCTGACTAGGAAGCTCTGAGAAACTGACTGGGCAGGTCTGTTAGAAGGCTATTTGCATGTGATGCCTCCAGGAAGAGAACGTCCTAAGGCAAGAACAAGTCAAGGAGAGAAGGCTGGCCAGGGAACAAAGACTTAGTCATAGAGAGGCTGAGAAAATCCACCCCGGTGTCTGTCATTCTAATGGGTCCTCTGGCTTAGGCTCAATAGATTATTGTCTGACTCTTACAGTTGAAGGTAGAGGCAAGGTGTAGGTAGAAAGGATTATTTCAGTAACAGCTCCATAGGACGCCGAGACACAAGCTCCACAGCATTAAGATTAGTGTAAAAAAAAAAAAAGTAATACAATTGCAGCAGGCTGGGTGTGGTGGCTCACACCTATAGTCCCAGCACTTTGGAAGGCTGAGGTGGGAGGATTGCTTGAGGCCAGGAGCTTGAGACCAGTCTGGGCAACATAGTGAGATCCTATCTCTATTAAAAAAAAAAAAGTAATAGCCAGGCATGGTGGCACACAGCTGTAGTCCCAGTGACTTGGGAGGTTGAGGTGGGAGAATTGCTGGAGCCCAGAAATTGGAGGCTGCAGTGAGCTATGGTCATACCACTGCACTCCAGTCTGGGTGACAGAGCAAGATCCCATCTCAAAAATATAACAATAAAAGCTATTGTAGCAAGAGAGGATCTCTGTGAACGAACTACAAGTTCAGCACCCAGATGATTTCAGCATCTTAGTCAAAGGCCAATGCCCAGGAGGAGAAGATGGTGCCCAGCAGAAAGAGACTTAGTAACATCTGTCTAAATAGCTACATTAATTTATTATTTCATTCATTTATGCATTCGACAAACATTGAGGGCTATCCCAATTACTTTTTGTAAGGTTATGATGAACGGGGATCAAATGTTTTCGTAAGGTAGGATTCCTATCCATAAGAAGCCCAAGGACTGGTTCACATTAAAATATACTTTTTCTCTTGTGTTCTCTTGATTGATTGGTAATGACTGCTTACAGCACTCCAGGAACATTTGAGAGCCACATCCTGGTGCAGAGAAGTGCTGTGATTGATTAGCAATGTATGCTTTGGCCACATATTTGTAACCCTGAAGGTCTGGATTTCTGTCTGGCTCCATAAATAGCATGTAGTTTGAGACCTATGAACTAGGCCATTTGCATGTCTTATATGAAAAATCCCTCTCCCACTTCCTCTTCTGAGGCTGAGGGACAAAGAGATGAACTGATCTCAAGAGAGGAGGTTCCAAGTTGTCACTCTTCTTTTTTGACAAACAAAAGAGAATGATATTTTCTCTGTATCTACTTCAACTCCTCCCGTGTAAGTCAGAAAGATAATCCTTAGGACGGGGTGGGGGGGGTGGGGTGTGGAGAATAAAAATCCATGTACAATGACAAAAAGTACTCCGCCTTCCACCTACAGAGTGATAAAGGGTTTGAGGATGTGAGACCATAACCCAGCCTTGAAAGTAAGCATGAAATAGTACGAGCCCATGTTGACTTGGTGCTGTATGGACAATGAAATAAAATCCAACCAGCCAGGTTTGTCTGGTATGAATGTGGTTAATCTGTTGACAGCTTGGGAGCCTACAGGAACTATAGAGTGATGGGCAGAGCTCTCAAAGCACATTTGATAGTATTGTGGCTGACTCTTCAGTAGTCTCGCTGATAAGTTCCACTTGGATTTAGATGCTTACTACTCAGACAATTGTGGGGAGACAAAAGATTTTCAATTCACTCTACTACTCTGTTCTAGAAGGTCTATTTGTTTTGTGAGCCAATGAGAACTCAAAAGGCTGAGAACTTAATCTAATATAGCTTTTGTCATCTGCAAGACCTGTTCTCAAATCTCTGCTCTGTCATTCTTTACTCGTGTGACTCTGGGCAAATGCCATAAGCCTCAGGGTCTTCATCTGAAACACTCAGGGATAATAATAATGCTTGTCTCCAGGTTTTGTTGAAGATTGAATGAGTGTGTAAAGTGCCCAACAGAAAGTCTGGCACATGGTAAGTACTCAATGAATGGTCGACATAATCATTAACATTAGAGTTTTGGACACTCGAATCATCACTCACCTCATCTCCTTTCCACCTTCTCTTTTCTACTCACAAAAAGGCTTTGTGCTGTGGTCTGAATGTTTATGACCCCCAAAATTCATAAGTCAAAATGCTAACCCCCTAGGTGATGGTAATAGGAAGTGGGGCCTTTTGGAACAGATTATTAGGCCATGCAAGTGGAGCCCTCATCAATAGGATTAGTGTCCTTATAAAAGAGGCCTCAGAGGCACCTGCCTTTGCTGAGGCTTCAGTAGGTAAACAAAGTGGCCAGGGAAGCTCGAACTGGGCAGAGCCCACCGCAGCTCAGCAAGGCCGGCTGCCTCTGTAGTCTCCACCTCTGGGGGCAGGGCATAGTCTCCACCTTTGTTCTGCTGAACAAAGGCAGCAGAAACGTCTGCAGACTTAAGCATCCCTGTCTGACAGCTCTGAAGAGAGCAGTGGTTCTCCCAGTATGGTGTTTCAGCTAGGAGAATGGACAGACTGCCTCCTCAAGTGGATCCCTGACCCCCGTGTAGCCTAACTGGCAGACACCTCCCAGTAGGGGCCGACTGACACCTCATACAGGCGGGTGCCCCTCTGAGACGAAGCTTCCAGAGGAAGGATCAGGGAGCAATATTTTCTGTTCTGCAATATTTGCTGTTCTGCAGCCTCCACTGGTGATACCCAGGCAAACAGGATCTGGAGTGGACCTCCAGCAAACTCCAACAGACCTGCAGCTGAGGGACCTGACTGTTAGAAGGAAAACTAACAAACAGAAAGGAATAACATCAACATCAACAAAAAGGGCATCCACACCAAAGCCCCATCTCTAGGTCACCAACATCAAAGATCAAAGGTAGATAAAACCACAAAGATGGGGAGAAACCAGAGTAGAAAAGCTGAAAATTCTAAAAACCAGAGCGCCTCTTCTCCTCCAAAGGATCACAGCTCCTCGCCAGTAGGGGAACAAAGCTGGACATAGAATGACTTTGACAAGTTAACAGAAGTAGGCTTCAGAAGGTCGGTAATAACAAACTTCCCTGAGCTAAAGTAGGATGTTCAAACCCATCGCAAGGAAGCTAAAAACCTTGAAAAAAGATTAGACGAATGGCTAACTAGAATAACCAGTGTATAGAAGACCTTAAATGACCTGATGGAGCTGAAAACCATGGCATGAAAACTACATGACGCATGCACAAGCTTCAATGGCCGATTCAATCAGGTGGAAGAAAGGGTATCAGTGATTGAAGATCAAATTAATGAAATAAAGCAAGAAGACAAGGTTAGAGAAAAAAGAGTAAAAAGAAATGAACAAAGCCTCCAAGAAACATGGGACTGTGTGAAAAGACCAAACCTACGCTTGATTAGTGTACCTGAAAGTGACGGGGAGAATGGAACCAAGTTGGAAAACACTCTTCAGGATATTATCCAGGAGAACTTCCCCAACCTACAAAGGCAGGCCAACATTCAAACTCAGGAAATACTGAGAACACCACAAAGATACTCCTCGCGAAGAGGAACCCCAAGACACATAATTGTCAGATTTGCCAAGGTTGAAATGAAGGATAAAATGTTAAGGGCAACCAGAGAGAAAGGTCGGGGTACCCACAAAGGGAAGCCCATCAGACTAACAGCTGATCTCTTGGCAGAAACTCTACAAGCCAGAAGAGAGTGGGGGCCAATATTCAACATTCTTAAAGAAAAAAATTTTCAACCCAGAATTTCATATCCAGCCAAACTGAGCTTCATAAGTGAAGGAGAAATAAAATCCTTTACAGACAAGCAAACGCTGAGAGATTTTGTCACCACCAGGCCTGCCTTACAAGAGCTCCTGAAGGAAGCACTAAACATGGAAAGGAACAACCAGTAACAGCCACTGCAAAAATATGCCAAATTGTAAAGACCATTGATGTTAGAAAGAAACTGCATCAACTAACGGGCAAAATAACAGCTAACATCATAATGACAGGATCAACTTCACACATAACAATATTAACCTTAAATGCAAATGAGCTAAATGCCCCAATTAAAAGACACAGACTGGCAAATTTGATAAAGAGTCAAGACCCATCAGGAGACCCATCTCACGTGCAGAGACACACATAGGCGCAAAATAAAGGATGG
Source organism: Homo sapiens (assembly GCF_000001405.40). Classification (NCBI taxonomy): domain Eukaryota; kingdom Metazoa; phylum Chordata; class Mammalia; order Primates; family Hominidae; genus Homo; species Homo sapiens. The sequence goes on from NC_000011.10 coordinate 35,092,939, forward strand.
AGGAAGATCTACCAAGCAAATGGAAAGCAAAAAAAAAGCAGGGGTTGCAATCTTAGTCTTTGATAAAACAGACTTTAAAGCAACAAAGATTAAAAGAGACAAAGAAGGCGATTAAATAATGGTAAAGGGATTAATTCGACAAGAAGAGCTAACTATCCTAAATATATATGCACTCAATACAGGAGCACCCAGATTCATAAAGCAAGTTCTTAGAGACCTACACAGAGACTTAGACTCCCACACAATAATAATGGGAGACTTTAACACCCCACTGTCAATATTAGACAGATCAATGAGACAGAAGGTTAACAAGGATATCCAGGACTTGAACTCAGCTCTGCACCAAGCAGACCTAATAGATATCTACAGAACTCTTCACCCCAGATCAACAGAATATACATTCTTCTCAGCACCACATCTCACTTATTCCAAAATTGACCACATAGTTGGAAGTAAAAAACTCCTCAGCAAATGTAAAAGAACAGAAATCACAACAAACTGTCTCTCAGACCACAGTGAAATCAAATTAGAACTCAGGATTAAGAAACTCACTAAAAACTGCACAATGACATGGAAACTGCTCCTGAATGACTACTGGGTAAAAAACAAAATGAAGGCAGAAATAAAGATGTTCTTTGAAACCAATAAGAACAAAGGCACAACATACCAGAATCTCTGGGACACATTTAAAGCAGTGTGTAGAGGGAAATTTATAGCACTAAATTCCCACAAGAGAAAGCAGGAAAGATCTAAAATCGACCCCCTAACATCACAGTTAAAAGAACTAGAAAAGCAAGCGCAAACAAATTCAAAAGCTAGCAGAAGGCAAGAAATAACTAAGATCAGAGCAGAACTGAAGGAGATAGAGACACAAAAAACCCTTCAAAAAATCAATGAATCCAGGAGCTGGTTTTTTGAAAAGATCAACAAAATTGATAGACCACTAGCAAGACTAATAAAGAAGAAAAGAGAGAAGAATCAAATAGACGCAATAAAAAATGATAAAGGGGTTATCACCACCGATCTCACAGAAATACAAACTACCTTCAGAGAATACTATAACCACCTCTATGCAAATAAACTAGGAAACCTAGAAGAAATGGATAAATTCCTGGACACATACACCCTCCCAAGACTAAACCAGGAAGTTGAATCTATGACTAGACCAATAACAGGTTCTGAAATTGAGGCAATAATTAATAGCCTACCAACCAAAAAGAGTCCTGGACCAGACGGATTTACAGCCGAATTCTACCAGAGGTACAAAGAGGAGCTGGTACCATTCCTTCTGAAACTATCCCAATCAATAGAAAAAGAGGGAATCCTCCCTAATTCATTTTATGAGGGCAGCATCATCCTAATACCAAAGCCTGGCAGAGACACAACAAAAAAAGAGAATTTTAGACCAATATCCCTGATGAACATCAATGCAAAAATCCTCAATAAAATACTGGCAAACCGAATCCAGCAGCACATCAAAAAGCTTATCCACCACGATGAAGTTAGCTTCATCCCTGGGATGCAAGGCTGGTTCGAAATACCCAAATCAATAAACGTAATCCATCACATAAACAGAACCAACAACAAAAACCACATGATTATCTCAATAGATGCAGAAAAGGCCTTAAACAAAATTCTCAACAGTCCTTCAGGCTAAAAACTCTCAATAAACTAGGTATTGATGGAATGTATCTCAAAATAAGAGCTATTTATGACAAACCCACAGCCAATATCATATTGAATGGGCAAAAACTGAAAGCATTCTCTTTGAAAACTGGCACAAGACAGGGATGCCCTCTCTCAACACATATTCAACATAGTGTTGGAAGTTCTGGCCAGGGCAATCAGGCAAGAGAAAGAAATAAGAGAATTCAGTTAGGAAAAGAGGAAGTCAAATTGTCCCTGTTTGCAAATGACATGATTTTATATTTAGAAAACCCCATCCTCTCAGCCCAAAATCTCCTTAAGCTGATAAGCAACTTCAGCAAAGTCTCAGGATACAATATCAATGTGCAAAAATCACAAGCATTTCTATATACCAATAACAGACAAACAGAGAGCCAAATCATGAGTGAACTCCCATTCACAATTGCTACAAAGAGAATAAAATATCTAGGAATCCAACTTACAAAGGATGTGAAGGACCTCTTCAAAGAGAACTACAAACCACTGCTCAGTGAAATAAAAGAGGACACAAACAAATGGAAGAACATTCCATGCTCATGGACAGAAAGAATCAATATCGTGAAAATGGCCATACTGCCCAAGGTAATTTGTAGATTCAATGCCATCCCCATCAAACTTCCAATGACTTTCTTCTCAGAATTGGAAAAAACTACTTTAAAGTTCATATAGAACCAAAAAAGAGCCCGCACTGCCAAGAAAATCCTAAGCAAAAAGAACAAAGCTGGAGGAATCATGCTACCTGACTTCAAACTATACTACAAGACTACAGTAACAAAAACAGCCTGGTACTGGACCAAAACAGATATATAGACCAATGGAAAAGAACATAGGCCTCAGAAATAATACCACACATCTACAACCATCTGATCTTTGACAAACCTGACAAAAACAAGAAATGAGGAAAGGATTGCCTATTTAATAAATGGTGCTGGGAAAACTGGCTAGCCATATGTAGAAAGCTGAAACTGGATCCCTTCCTTACACCTTATACAAAAATTAATTCAAGATGGATTAAAGACTTAAATGTTAGATCTAAAATCATAAACACCCTAGAAGAAAACCTAGGCAATACCATTCAGGACATAGGCATGGGCAAAGACTTCATGACTAAAACACCAAAAGCAATGGCAACAAAAGGCAAAATAGACAAATGGATCTAATTAAACTAAAGAGCTTCCGCACAGCAAAAGAAACTACCATCAGAGTGAACAGGGAACCTACAGAATGGGAGAAAATTTTTGCAATCTCCTCATCTGACAAAGGGCTAATATCCAGAATCTTCAAAGAACTTAAACCAATTTATAAGAAAAAAACAAACAACCCCGTCAAAAAGTGGGCACAGGATATGAACAGACACTTCTCAAAAGAAGACATTTATGCAGCCAACAGACACATGAAAAAATGCTCATCATCACTAGTCATCAGAGAAATGCAAATCAAAACCACAATGAGATACCATCTCACACCAGTTAGAATGGCAATCATTAAAAAGTCAGGAAACAACAGGTGCTGGAGAGGACGTGGAGAAATAGGAACGCTTTTACACTGTTGGTGGGACTGTAAACTAGTTCAACCATTGTGGAAGACAGTGTGGCGATTCCTCAAGGATCTAGAACTAGAAATACCATTTGACCCAGTGATCCCATTACTGGGTATATACCCAAAGGATTACAAATCGTGCTACTATAAAGACACATGCACACATATGTTTATTGTGGCACTATTCACAATAGCAAAGATTTGGAACCAATCCAAATGTTCATCAATGATAGACTGGATTAAGAAAATGTGGCACATGTACACCATGGAATACTTTGCAGCCACAAAAAGGATGAGTTCATGTCCTCTGTGGGGACATGGATGCAGCTGGAAACCATCATTCTGAGCAAACTATCACAAGGACAGAAAACCAAACACCATATGTTCTCACTCATAGGTAGGAATTGAACAATGAGAACACATGGACACAGCGGGGGAACATCACACCCCGGGGCCTGTCATGGGGTGGGGGCAGGGGGAGGGATAGCATTAGGAGAAATACCTAATGTAAATGACTAATTAATGGGTGCAGCAAATGAACATGGCACGTATATACCTATGTAACAAGCGTGCCCGTTGTGCACATGTACCCTAGAACTTAAAGTATAATAAAAATAAATAAATAAATAAATAAATAAATAAATAAATAGATAAAAGAGGCCCCAGAGAGACTCATCTTTTCAGCCATGTGAGGACACAGCAACACATTGGCTGTCCATCAGCCAGGAAGTGGGCTCTCACCAGACAGCAAATCTGCTGATGCAGTGATCTTGGACTTCCTAACCTCCAGAACTGTGAGAAATAAATTTCTGTTGTTTATAAGCCACCCAGTTTATGGTGTTTTGTTATAATGGTCTGAACATACTGTGCCAGTTGGGCTTTAATGCCCCTTGGCCAGAAGCTCTGGGTGCAGGCCCTGAGGAGGGCTGAGTCTCTCCTCTTCTCTTTCTCCCAGCCTGGCCTCAAGCTGCCCCAGTGAGCACAGGCCATGTGGTGGTACACTGGCTTCCAAAAGGTCATGCAGTGTTAAATGGTATTTCTGGTTCCAGATATTTGAGGAATTGCCACACCATCTTCCACAGTGGTTGAACTAATTTACATTCCCCCCAACAGTGTAAAAGCATTCCTATTTCTCCACAACCTTGTTACTGGGTGTATACCCAAAGGGATCTAAGTCATTCTATTACAAAGATATATGCATGCATATGTTTATTGCAGCACTATTCACAATAGCGAAGACATGGAATCAACCCAAATGCTCATCAATGATAGACTGCATTAAAGAAAATATGGTACATATACACTATGGAATACTATGCAGCCATAAAAAGTACTGTGATCTTTTCTTCTGCAGGTACACGGATGGAGCTGGAAGCCATTATCCTCAGCAAACTAATGTAGGAACAGAAAACCAAATATTGCATGTTCTTACTTATAAGTGGGAGCTGAACAACGAGAACACATGGACACAGGGAGGGAAACAACACACACTGGGGCCTGTCCAGCAGTAAGGTTGAGGCAGGGAAAGCATTAGGAAAAATAGCTATGCATGCTGGGCTGAATACTGGGTGATGGATTGATAGGTGCAGCAAACCACCATGGCATATGTTTACCTTTGTAAGAAACCAGCACATCCTGCACATGTACCCTGGAACTTAAAATAAAAATTAAAATGTTTTTTAAAAAAGTCATGATGTTTTCTCAGCAGCCCAGTTTACTTTTCCAGACCCCTCTGGCATGTGTTACTCCAGAAAAAGGCCGGTGTGTGTGAAACCCAGGCCACTGTGACACTGTATAATGAGAGGGACAGGCAGGGAGGAGGGAGAAGGTTGCTCCAGCCAAAGCCAGCAGCACCCCGGGAGCTGCTGTATCTGGCCAAAGGCTGTTTACACTTTGCTGCAGACATCGAGGCCTGCTGTTCAGGGGAGGAGGATTTCAATATGTGACCCCACAAGGTACAAGCAGAGCCACCTCTGTCAGACTGACCTCGACAGAGTGGTAGGGCCAAGTTTTAGAAAGAAGTTACATTGGATAGGGAGGCAGGAAAGAAACACTTTGATTCTTGCTTTCTGAGCTTGTTTCCTGTACTCTTTGGAAAAAGAAGACCAGAAAACAGAGCACCTCTCCAATTGTGTGACAGAATGGGAAAATAATCAGAATTGATGGTGGTGGCTCTGCTTCAATACTGGCCGCTGCTGTCTTCCACCTACATATTCTCCTCCAAGTCCTGTAGTCTCTCTGTGCAAACTCAGATTCCACATCTGTAAAATGGGAACAATAACAAAGTTGACATGAGGATCACATGGAATAACGTATGTCTTGGACTTTTTTAAGGCAGGCAGTTATGTGCACAAATATTTCATTTGCTTATTTGTCTTTTTCTCTTTAACTTTTCCCTTTGTCCTACCTAATCCCTATTTCTCCTTTTTTTTCCATAAGCATATACCTCAGGCCAAAAATGTTCAAATGTTTCCACCAAAAATGCCCCTAACAAGCAAAAAAATATGTAAAAAGGTTTAGCCCAAAGTGTCCGACACAAATGTGAAATTTCATTGACATTTAAAGTTTATTTTTAAGATACATGTGAATCTTGAATTTGATTCCATAATATGTTCATGTGAATCATTTACAGTTAGTTCTTGGTTGAAAATAATGGAGTCCATTCTAGGTAGCTCAGGCAGAACAAGAATTTAAGGGCAACCGTGGATCTTCTAGGAAATCTAAAGCATTGGGTTCCCCACGTAGTGGAAACATGATGAAGCCAGTCCCCAGGGGCTGCCCCAGCAAATGTCCAGTGGTGTTGGCCTTGGACACAAACACCCCAGCCTGCCCCAGACAGAGGTGCTTGCTCTGATCCCACTGGGGACTGGATACAGAGGCTCTGCTACTGCTGCGTGTGGCTTTGTCACAGTGCTGCCCAAACAGATTTCTCAAGGCTCCTTCCTCATATTGCTTTTGACCGAATTGAAGTCGTTAGTGGTTGTATCTGCATGGTACTGCCTAAGACCCAGCCTATAGCCCAACTACAAGAGAGGATGGAATAGTAAATTCCAATTTCTACTTTATGAAGGCAGGGCTCACAATGTAGGACATTTTCCCAATACAGAAAAGACTTTGAATACACACTTAGTGGTCATAAACATTATATATCTTAACATTCTTTTTAAACCACCTATCTGCAAGTAAAGTGAATGTTTTGGAAACATACACCCTGTTTTTCTAAGCTTTGTGTATCTTTCATAATCTGTGTAATCCCAAGGGTACATGCACTGCAGTTTGAAAATCCAGGCCCTAGGCCCTCCAGAGGCATTGTCCGTTTTCATGGAATGTACTAGAGATGAGTCATCCTCAGAAAGAGAGTACAGTTTCCATCTCCTAAGAGTGGAGGCACATTCAAAGCAATTTGAATAATCCCAGGTATGAAATTATCATATTAGGCTCACGAAACTGATGCCCTTTAATGGCTTTAGAATCACCAGTCCCACTATGAACACACATCTCCTAATGCTTACACCAATGTCGGTTTCCATGTCTTCGTCCCACCTTTTCCCAGGGCAGGCTTAGTTCCTATCTAGTCAGAGGAATTCAGGTTCATTCAGCACATTTCATGTCCAGTTTTGTTTACAGTAAAGGATCAAGCCTCTCTTCTGTCATGGCTAATAATTCCCGTTAGAAATAGAAGCCACTGGGAAAAAGTCACGAAAAAGCCAGCACTCTTTTCTGGGAACTTCAACTTTTCTTATTTACATGACCTGAAGTTTCATCATCTTCATTAGCAGAAAGCCCCAAGTCTGTAATTGAATCTTTGAGAGAAGCAATACAATTCAAATTTCCCTGTGGCTTGAAGGTAGTGGGATTGGCACTGTGGAGGTTAACATTCTCTCTGCAAACTACAGGATGACATTCTCCTAACAGCACAGCCCTGTCATTGTTTGGGAAACAATTCTCCAGGGAGTGGACTGTAAAACCACTGGCCAAATTTCAAGTATGTCCGTGCAGAATGAGAGTTATTTTTCCAGTTGGTCACTAGAAATAGAGCCCAGGCAAGGGCCTGAAGAATGGAAAGTATGGTTCATAGCAGTTTTTTATTCTAAAAATAGAATGATACTCACGTCTGTAATCCCAGGACTTTGGGAGGCCAAGGCGGGCGGATCACCTGAGGTCGGGAGTTCAAGACCAGCCTGACCAAAATGGAGAAACCCCGTCTCTACTAAAAATACAAAACTAGCCGAGCATGGTGGCACATGCCTGTAATCCCAGCTACTCGGGAGGCTGAGGCAGGAGAATGGCTTGAACCTGGGAGGCAGAGGTTGCAGTGAGCTGAGATCGCACAATTGCATTCCAGCCTGGGCAACAACAGTAAAGCTCCATCTCAAAAAAAAAAAAAAAAAAAAAATTAAAGATAGCTTTGCTGTGCAAGAGACAAGATTTTAGGGCTCTAGCCCAGGGGTGAGAGGAAGGCTGTCCTGGTCAGCAAGGCAGCAGGGTCTTAATCTGCTGAGACACCACTTCCCTGCTTCAGTAGGAGCCTCATCTCTTGAAATCTGACTTCAGGACACTGAGCATAGCCCTCTTGCTGCCCAGCCCGCTATATTCCACAGGAAGGGTAAGACCCTTCCATCTCTCACCATGCTGCCCAGACCAGTGTGTTAGGTTGCCAAAGCTTGCGTTGGGACAGACCTGGGGTCATTAATACTACTTGTATTAGCTCCAAGAATAACCAATATTTTGGAAGAGGTAATACATAAATACTTAAGGTGGTGACAGATATATTTGCTGGATGGACAGGATGTGGGCCCATACAGTCTCACATGAATTTGAAACATGACTTGTGTTTCCCCGAGAGGACATGAGTCTGGGTGGCAAAGGTGGGGTGCAGTAGACAGCCATAAATCATGTTTCACTGGCCCCCTTGCTATTCATACTTCAATTCTTCTCAAAGTGTCACTCGAGTATTTCTGAGCATTCTTAGGGGTATGTCAAATATGCTCCTAAATAAGCCCTTGCCATTTCCATTTGGTGCCTGCCATTTTCCTCTTGTGCACCTCTGGCCCCTCAGTGGAGTCTCATGGCCATGATTCTTTAGCTGGCAACCACTGGGAGAACCCTCATACCCATGGCTTCCTCTGTGCACTCAAGGCTCAGCTCCATGACAATGGGAAATCTTCACTGCTCAGATTTTTCTCACAGCTTGTCTTTCCCTAGAACTCTCACATTGAGTCCACGTGGCACTGGACCCAATATTGACATAGTCATGATGTCACCATCCTGGATCCAAAATCATCCCGTCCTTCACACAACAAATGCTTTGTCATCTGGGCACGCTTCTCTGCTGAAATTCTCTCCTTAGAGTTCCAGTCCCAATCTGATGACTTATGGTGGGCAAAGCATTTAACCTCTCTGGGTTTCAATTTACTTATTTATAAAATAGGGGATGTGAGCTAGATATCTTCTAGAGTCTCTTCTATTCCAGGGTTTGCTGACCCCTTGGAAGCATGGTGCTTTATCAAGCAATACACAAGAAGATATATTAGGTACTTCCATGTATCAAGCACTAGCTAGGTGCTCTGTAAATGGAAAATTGCTATTTTCTTTCATCTTTCTGACAAGAACCCGGCCTCTCTGGTCATCACTTTGCTTAAAACCCTCCAGTGACTTCTTGTCATATTTTGGAAAGAATCCAGGCTGAGTGGCATCCTACCTCAGTGCTATCACCTCATTCTTCTCTCATTTTTTATTTCATATACTCCAGATGGCTAGTCTTCTTTCTGACCCTGGAATGTGCTGAGCCCCTTCACACCAGGGCTTCTGCAAGTGTTCATTGTCCTACCTGAGATGCTCATCTCCCAGGTAACCCATGACTAACCTCTCACCATTCGGGTCCCCAAGGTTCCTTGCTTGACATCTGCCCCACTTTCAGCCAGCTTGCTCTGTCTCAAAGGTTGGCAAATTGTTGTCTTGGGTCAAATCTATTCTCATTTATTTACACATTTTCTATGGCTACTTTTGGGCTACAACAGCAGAGTTGAGTTCCATGTATGAGTGGCCGCAAGAGAGATGGATGGCCCACAAAGCTGAAAATATTTACCATCTGGCCTTTACAGGGAAAGTTTAAGAATCCCTGCCTATCCCATAGCATCTTTTATTCACACTGCTTATCAGTATCAGAATTGCTAAATCAATCTGCTTCTTTCTGCCTTATTTTTCTCCCCCACTAGAATGTAAGTGCCTGCAAGTTGAAGGTCTCATCTATCTTGATCCCAGTGCTTTTGTTAGTTCTTAGCACAGCACCTGACACAGAGCCAATAAATAACGGTAAGCTGGATGGATTTAGGTCTGTTTCCTTTTGCACTGTTGAAGCAATAACAAAATTCAGTGCAAATCCTAAAATAAACTCCACCATCTCCATGGTTCTTTCTACACCCCCGTGACCAACTGTCAAGCTTCTCTCTGTTCCCACCTTCATCTCATTGTGTCCTCTTCTGATTCTGCTCTGACACCCCCAGATACCAGTGTCTTCTTGCCCTTTACTCTTTATACTTTTCTAATTAGCTCTTGGCCCTCCATGGCACCAGCAGCCCTCCAGGGAGCAGCTCTTGGCTAGAAAGCCAATCAAAGGGCAACAGCGCATTCCTCTATGGTATTTCCAGGTAGGACTTGGAAGTCTGGTGGACTCAAACTCAGACACATATTTGAGGGAGCTTCATACTTTCCTAAGTGGGCCTTTCTACTTGAGACCACTTGAAAAATGAATTCAGATTCTCAGAGAATGGAACCCCAGGGCCGGGAGAAGTTTGAATCTAAGAAGCTCTGGCTATCAGATATGGGGGAGCTCCTAGGAATCATCTAACACCTCTCAAACTTCCCCATCAAAACTGGCCTAGTAGCAGATAACAGTGACATATTTCCCTAGGAGGGAATGGGGTTGATACATAAACTATACTACTCTAACTTCATTTTATTTCAATAATCCATGAGAACATTGTATTCTATCTCATAATATATTTTTAAAGAAATAATGAACCTTTTCCATTAAAATGTGTGGCTATGGCAACCACACATCTACAATCTTTGAGGAAAAATCACAGTCTACCTCTATCCTTAGCACACTCTTGCCTAGGCCCATATACCCACTGGTACTGAGACAGCTTGGAAAGCAGGAAATTTAATCCAGTGTATCCTTTAACAGATGAGGATACTGAAGGCCCAACAGAGATGGCAATAGAAATGAAGCTCCTTACCTTTAGGAGAACTCCATTCCTACTTCTTGGGAGGATAAATTAGTCTGTGGTAAGATTAGAAGTGTTGTTGAACAGTCTCTGTCTGCCCTCCAGACACAGCTGCCACCCTGCCCATCTGCTCTGTGGCCCTGCAGGCTGATATCTGAGTACTGCATCACCAACCTTCCATGCCCTCTGACTTCTGGTTGGATTTGACCAATGGCAAGCAAGGGAGGGAATTGGAAGGCAGGATGAGAGTGTGGTCAGGGTATTTGTTTCCCCAGCTCCCTTCCCACCAGACCTCATGTTGGCAATGGCTGTGCTCTTCTACCAAAGCAGGCGGACCCTACAGCTAGAGATCTACTAGGTTCTGGGAACCACTCCACGCTCTAATTCTCCTCAGACTTAGGAGTGCCGTGGCTTCCTCATTTGTCAACCCCGGCGTTCTTTACTATCCCAGCCATACATTTGTAACTAATGCCATCATTAGGCTCTCCTAATCCCTTTTATCAAAGAATCATTTGTTTCCTGCCAGGACACTTACAGTAAATGGTACTGGAAGTAGCCCAGAGAACACCCCTCAAAATGGGATTCTGAGGTTGGATTGCTCACACATTCATTAAGCACACATAAGCACACTGTATCTTGTGGTATGGGGAGGGGCATTTGTTATAGTGGTTTGCAGTAGGCTTACGATTACTTAAATCATCACTCATTTTGGCATGGGATGGTGTGGAATATGCATGAAGGGCATTATGTTTTGAGATCAGGAGCCATGGGTCTTTAGTCAATCTGGTGACAATGATGATTGCAAAAATTATGGTGTGAGCTTGTTACCTCTGAAAACCCTACAGAATATTCATAGAGAAAAGAACAAATGAAAAGTTTTAAATATGCAACTGAGAATACAAATAGAATATCAGAAAGCCTCTGTGGTCTGAATGACGCAAGTAACCTGGGTAAGATGATGGCCCAGACTCCCGTGACACTTACTCCTTTGCCTTGAAAGCATGTCTATGGTTCATGAGAAGTTTCTGATGACAATGACAGACCAGTTTATACATGGGTCTACGAGGTGTTCTGGAACCAACCAGAAGTACTGGCCACTACCTACAGACCTACTCGGGGTGGCCCTAAAAAATAGTGGTAGTGGTGAATCTTCCAGGTGGGTAGAACTTTCGGAAGTCCAAGGACATGGAAAGAACAGAATTGGAAGATTGGTGACAAGGAGGTCTGGGGAGAAGTCTGTATATGGATCCCTGGGAATAGATACTAAGTGTAAAGATGACTGTGTCCTATGTACATACCTACCTACTGAGGGCATTTACTGCAGATAATGCACCAAGTAATCAGATGGACAAGATGATCTGTCTAAGAGATGTCAGTCTCTCTTTTAGATAACTGTGTGCGTATTCCATGTGCAAAGTGCTCATGCCAGCAAAAATGGATGGTATTTATGCATGTAGATAACAAAAAGACACACCCTTACCAAGGCTTATCAGGCTATCCTCATTGCTAAGACTGCTGTGCTACAAAAAAGAAGCCAGTATAAGCCTCTAATGTGGCACCATTCCCCAAGGGATCAGCTAACTACCTGGTGGCAAGATGATTTCATCGGATCCCTCCTATTATGGAGAAGGCAAGGTTTTTGTCTTCATAGGAAAATATATCTACGTCACTTGCAGAATTTGCTTTCCTTACCCACAATGCTTCTAACAGCACTATCTTTTGGGGGCTGTATTGAGGGCTTTATCTATTGCCATAATATTCCACACAACATTGGTGCCAAGCAAGGAGCTCATTTTATAACAACAACAAAAGTGTAGCATGGGGCTCATGACTGCAGAATTCCCTGGTGTTTCCATTGATCCTCTCATCTATAGGGAGCTGGTTTTATGTATTAGTTGTTTATTATTGCATAACAAATTACCCCAAACTTAGCATCTTAAAACAACAAACATCATCTTCCAGTTTCTGTAGGTCAGGCATCTGACCTCTAACTCAGGGTCTCTCACAAGGCTGCAAACATTGGCTAGGGCTGTAGTGATCTCAATACTTGACTAAGGGAGTGGGCACTCCCAAGCTCACTCATGTGGCTGTTGGCAGGCCTCAGGTCCTCTCTGGCTGCTGGCTGGAGATATCAGTCTGTTGCCATGTAGACCTCCCCAGAGAGCAACACACACCAGAGCAACTGGATTCTATCAGAGCAAGCAAGCAGGAGAGTCAGAGAGAGCAGCAAGTCAGAAGCCAGAGTCTTTTTGTAACTTAATCTCTGAAAGTGACATCCCTTCATTTTTGCCTTATTCTATTCATTAGAAGCAAGTCACTAGGTCCAGCCCACATTCAAGGAGAGGTAAATACACAAGGGCAAGGACACCTGAAAGCAAGGATCACTGGGAGCCACTTTAGAGGCTACCTATCACCCTAGAAATAAAAGCACAATAGCCTGCTAAAGCCTCAGCTATGCTTCTGGCAGGCAACACCCTGTGAGGTTTGGGTGCTACCCTACAGTCTGCAGTATATGGCTAACAGCCAACATGTGGTACCATCTCCTGTATCCAGAGAATGCACAAGTCTGGAAAACCAGGGGTAGAGGTAAAAGTGTCCCCTCTCACTATTTTAAGAAATGACCAACTTAAAAATTGTTGCCTCTGTTTCCTGTGTCCTTTGGTTCAATGGGTTTGAAGGACCTAATGCCCAGGGATAGAATGCTTCCTCTAGAGACCACAGCCATGGTTCTAATAAATTACAAGCTGAGCCTACTTCTGGCCATTATGAGCACCTATCCTTGAACCAATAGAAAAGAGAGTCTCTATATTACCAAGGAAGAATTTGGGTGCTGCTGCGCAATGGAAGCAAGGACTATGTTACAAATTTGGAAGATTTCAAACATAAAAGACCAGAGGTGCATTCTGGTAGTGTTGTCTTGTAATCCCGATCATTTGGAAAACTACAGCTTCCGAATTAAGAGAGTACCACCCAGGACTCATATCCTGTGGCCATGAAAGTTTGGGTCACAACAGGTAAAGGACCATATTCAACCAGGGTGCTGGCAGAAGGTATGGAGAGCATAGAATGGGTAGTAGAAGAAGGAAAGTATGGTTATAACCTTAATCCCAATGACTAGGCACAGAAACAGGGTCTGTAGAAGCCATATTTTATGTTAATTATATCTTTGCCTATGTTTCCTCCCACTACCTTCTAAGAAGAGCACAGGTGGTGATTAAAGTTTTAGATTGCAGGTGACAATGTGACTGAACTCACCCTGACATGATACAGTGTTTGAGGGACTTTATGGAGGCCAAAAGGCAAAAGAGATGGGCTAGGATGAAGAGTTACTATCTGCTCTTCCCAATCTACTCTCTGCCCTTCTCGGTCTTCCTCTGGGCCCTGGGAGACTGGTCTCTGCAGACCACATCAACGAGATGTTTTCACTTCTGGTTTCTGAGAGGAACTGGCAGGATATCAGAGGGTAGAAGGAGATATATAGGGTTATTTATTCCTCAGGTTCAGCTGCAGATTGTCAGTGATTGAGCTGCTCTGCCAAAAGTTGATTTTCTGTGTCTTAGTTTGGGTTCTTTTGAAAGCAGTGCAACTTGAGTGTTGGAGGTTGACTCAGGGAGCAGAAAGAAGAAAGAAAAGCCAATGGAGTGTTTATAAATGATCTGGTTATTGTTGTGGGCAATTGGGGTGCAGTGACTTTGGGGGCTCCCTGAGGAATTACGAGCATGTGCCCCAGAATGATTTCCACAGAGGCTGATGGGCTCCGGGCATTTATCCACTCACTTCCACCACCTACCTATTGAGTTTGCGCCTGGAGACATATATTCCACGAATTTCTCCATTGTAACTGTGCTGGCTAAGTGGCCTTCTGAACCTTTGGAAAAAGCCCCAAGGAGCACAATTAAGAAAGACCTTGAACAATCTATCTTTGCTCTTGAGGTGGGACTCAGGTAAAGTGTGTGCAACTGTCCACCCTGTGGTGCTAAAGTCAGGCGGACTGATGGTATATGTTGTGGTACATCACCAGCACCTTCTTGCCCTCTGTCAGATGCAGGACTCCTGGGTTTGCTTCTTCTCTTTGCTGTTTCAGACATAATCATAACAGATCCTGTCCTTACTAGTCCCAGGGTATTTCATTATCTCTTTTTTGCTTCCTCTAAGGAGGTCTATACTTTTGTAATAGCTCCTCTTAACTCTCTCTTCAATCATCCTTTGGATCTGTTTTGTGCTAAAACTCTGATAGATAAGACTAGTGAAATTTCAAAAGTGAACATATAATGAGCTAAAATCCAGATAGCTAGTCTAGACAAGGTCTACTGTTTCTACCCAGTATCCACATACTAGTTTCTTATTAAAATGTTCAAAGCTACACAATCAATTTTTTTGGACTCCCCAAGATGCAGAGACTTTGAGAAAGCACTTTTCATGCCAAGGAAACACTGGCTCCTTTGGGGCTAACATGTAAATTTATTATTTTTTAAATGTCTGTAATATGGTATGGCTGTGTCCCCATCCAAATCTCATCTTAAATTGTAATCCTCATAATTCCCACGTGTCAAGGGAAGCATCTAGTAGGAGGTGATTGGACCGTGGGGGTGGTTTCCCCCATGCTGCTTTTGTGATAGTGAGTGAGTTCTCACAAGATCTGATGGTTTTGTAAGTGTTTGACAGTTTCTCCTTCAAACACTCCCCCTCTCTCCTGTTGCCATGGAGGATGTGTCTGCTTCCCCTTTGACCATGATTGTAAGTTTCCTGAGGCCTCCTCAGCCATATGTAACTGTGAGTCAATTAAAACACCTTTCCTTTATAAATTACCCAGTCTCAGGTATTTCTTTATAGCAGTGTGAAAATAGAATTTTTTAAGGAAATGAAAATTATATAATGTTTACTTTCCTCAAACTAGCAAAATGGACATCTGTCATTCTGTTTCACTGCCCAGCATCTAAACCCTCTTGTTATATTTGGAGAATTTCCCACCTATGTCTCTTGGTCAGAGAGTGATATGGTTTGGCTGTGTCTTTACCCAAATCTCATCTTGAATTTAGTTTCCATAATCCCCACATGTCATGGGAGGGACCCAGTGGGAGGTAATTGAATCATGTGGCTGGTTACCCCCATGGCTCTGTTCTCATGATAGTGAGTGAGTTCTCATGAGGTCTGATGGTTTCATAAGAGGCTTTTCCCCCTTTTATTTGGCACTTCTTGCTGCTGCCATGTGAAGAAGGACGTGTTTGCTTCCCCTTCTGCCATGATTGTAAGTTTCCTGAGGCTCCCCAGCCATGTTGAACTGTGAGTCAATTAAAACTTTTTCCTTTATAAATTACCCAGTCTTGGATATGCCTTTAATAACAGTGTAAGAACAGACTGGGAAAAGTAAATTGGTACTGGGTAGTGGGGTGCTGCTGTGAAGGTACTTGAAAACATGGAAGTGGCTTTGGAACTGGGTAACAGGCAGAGGTTGGAACAGTTCAGAGGTCCCCAAAGAAGAAAGGAAAATATGGGAAAGTTTGGAACTTGTAGAGACTTAGAGGGATCATAAGACAGGAAGATGTGAGAAAGTTTGGAACTTCCTAGATACTTGTTGAATGACTTTGACCAAAATGCTGATAGTGATATGGACAATAAAGTGCAGGCTGAGTTGCTCTTAGATGGAGATGAGGAACTTATTGGGCACTGGAGTAAAGGCCACTCTTGCTATGCAGAGACTGGCAGCCTTTTGCTCCTGCCCTAGAGGTCTGTAGAAATTTGAACTTGAGAGAGATGATTTGGAGTATCTGGCAGAAGACATTTCTAAGCAGCAAAGCATTCAAGAGGAAGTAGAGCATGAAAATTTGGAAACTTCACAGCCTGATGGGATGCAATAGAAAAGAAAACCCCATTTTTCTGGGGAGAAATTTGAACTGGCTGCAGAAATTTGCATAAGTATTGAGGAGCCAAATGTTAATCACTAGGACAATGGGGAAAATACCTCCAGGGCATATCAGAGACCCACCCATCACAGGCCTGGAGGCCTGGGAGGGAAAATGATTTTGTGGATCAGGACCATGGCCCCCCTGCTCTATGTAGCCCCAGGACATGGGACCCTGTGTCCCAGCTGCTTCGACTCCAGCAGTGCCTAAAAGGAGCCAACGAACAGCTCTGGCCTTCCTTCAGAAGGCGTAAGCTCCAAGCTTTGGTGGCTTACACATGGTGATGGGCCTGTAGGTACACAGAATTCAAGAACTGAGGCTGGGGTGCCTCTGCCTAGATTTCAGAGGATGTATGGAAATGCCTCTATTTACAGAAGAGGGAGAGGATTCCAGATACCTGTTAATGTGGACAGTAGAACTCCCCTCACTAAAGGACAGAAATAAAGAAAGATTACATGATGCCATGTTTGTACAAGGTGCTCAATAAGTATTTGCTTCCACATGTCAGCTGAAACCCAATATTAGCTATATCTGCTGGAATCAGAGCTCAAAGTGTTCTTTCATTTATGGATTCAAGAAAAGCACAGAGCAGCTAATGTTTTCCAGAAACTGTGGTGCTCTGGGGCATGCAACAGCAATCATGCAGAATGTATAGTCCCCCATGGGCTGAGCTTGCAGTTGGTGGGGAGTACCTACAAGTAACTGGCTCTTAAAATGCTGTGTGGTAAGTCCTTTGATGTGGGGGTAGAGGTGAGAAAGGCACTGACCCAATCTTTGGAAGAAATGATATACTGGTTATAATTGTGCTTGTCTATAATAGTAAACTCTACTCACCCCCTACCCCCTGAATGTCCCCCACAAAATAGTGACCTTAACAATGAGAGATTATATGCTTCCAGAAGTAGGTGATCCATGCTTATATGGCAGCTCAAAAATGCCATCAGGGCCTTTGCTCGGTCATCCTTAGCATATGGTTCTTGTCCTCATAGTGGCAAGATGGCTCCTAAAGTTCCAGGAATCAATTCTACATTCCAGGCAGGAACAAGAGGAAGAACAAATGGCAAAACACTAGATGAACCTGTCAGAGGTTTTCCAGAATCTCAACCTAATGTTTTATTTCTTTGGCTACACCTGTGTCCCATGGCTGCTCTGGATCCAAGGGTGCTGAGAAATAAAGCTTTTGGCTCTAAACTTTGACAACTCAGACAAAACTGGATTTCTGTTAATCAGGAAGGCAAAATGGCTACTGCAGAAGCAATTATAATTCTTTGCCTCATGGGTCAGAACAGAAGGAAGAAGTGAGCACTGAGTTCCTAGGCACCTTGCTTTTGTCCGCTGGGGTCCCTTTTGCCACTCTGGACCAAGTCTCACTCTGGCCTTGTAGGTGATCACAAGGCTGGAACAGGGAAGGGGGACTTGATGAAACCTGAAGATGACTTCCTCCCACCCCTGCCGTTTCACGCAGAATCACCTCCAAACATGCTAGGAAGGCATGCTCTGCACTGGCATGCAACAGTGACCCCGACAAAGCAGCCCCCACCTCCAGAGAAGTCACATTTAGTGAAGATAACTAACCAACCATTCTCAGTTAAGACATTTTGATATTTTTTTCATATCATATTCATTCCTCCAAGCCAACAGTAGGGAAAGTAAGTGTCTCATTATACAGATAAGGAACTGGAAGCCCAGAGAGAGTTGAAACTTGTGTAGTTCACACTACTGGTCAAGACTGGAATAGGATTTGCTTCCCACTTCAGTGCTTTCTCCTCTCCAGAATCCTTTCTGCTCCCCAACCCCTACCCCAAGCCTCACTCTGGTGAGAGAAAGAACTGGAAGAGAAGGTGCTGTGGTCCCAGGCATTACAGCAACTGAACATATTCTGAACCAGGAGGCCTGATTAGTAGCCACTGCTCTGTTCTCATCATATTCTTGCAAGAGGAAGTGGTGGTGGTTTTCCCCGCAATCAGGAAGGAATTCCATCATTCATCTGCTAAGGCAGCACCTCCCTGAAATAATCTCTTCTCCCAGTCAGGCCTAGCTGGCTCCTTTCCCTCTGCAGCAGGATTGGGAAGGTTGGCCTTATTATGGTCCCTCCTTGCTCTTGATTCCTGTGGGGCCTTCTTGACTGCCAGTAGCACATTGGCTTGGTTCAGGGTGGAGTTGCTCTGAACTACTTTAGGAAGGAGAGGCCCTGGCCTTGTCCCTGGCACTTTCCCTTTCCCTTCATTCCCTCCCAGCTGTGGCATTCACAGAGTTTCCCTCCTCCAGCCCAGTCCTGGGCAGCAATAGCCTTCATGTTAGATGCCAAAAGGAGCATTCATCCTTCCCCCATGGGCTGGCACTGGGGCACTAAGCTTGGGCACCAAGGCGGGGCCTCATGGAGGCTCATGGAGGGGGCTGTGTGAATGGGGTGTGCTGTGTCATGCCTTTCCGCCACTGTTTCTGCTCCTACCTGCCTCCAAGGCCTGCATATGACTCAGGAGTCAGTTCAAGTTTATCTCCCTTGGCAGATCTTCCCTGCTCCCTGCCCACTCCACCACCACATCCTCTCCAGAGCTGGAAGATCCCTTCCCACATCCCACAGGTCTCAGAGCACTTAACCCCTGGTTCCAGTGGACACATCTGTTTCTGTCTTTCACCTCCCTCCTTTTGACTGTGAGATCCTTGCATTCTCACAGTGCCTTGGCACTTAGTAAACCCTCAGTACATATTGGGTGAATCCAGGATGCGCCCTGGTGCAGAACACTACAGGAGCATGTAGAGAAAGCTTTTATCACATTCCTGAGGTACCTTAAGGTGAGGTACCTGTAGAGAGGGACAGAAATCCTAATAGCACATTTTTGTTGAGTATTTGATAGTTGCCAAGCACTAGTATGGCTTTTTGCATACTTTGCGTATTTGCTCACTAAGTCTTCACCACAACCCTACAAGGTAGGCGCTGTCTCCACTTTGCCCATGAGAAAACAGAGGCTAAGAAAGGTTAAGTAACTTGCTCAAGATCCCACAGTAGGACAAGATAGAGGGATTTCGACCTCACAGCTCAAGCTCTTAACCCTCTGCCATGCATGTTGTGTCCTTAGTACCACCTCCCCGCCCTCCCAGCCACACAGGAGCTTGTAGCACAGGCGAGACATTCTCAAGTGGATCAATTAGACGAAAAAGCAAGACAGAGCCTGCCCCAACACTTAACACTCAATTATTGCCCAAATGCTAATGTACAGAAGAAATAATGAGGACTGGACTGGAGGGAGAGCCAGAAACGGCTTCCACAGAAAGGTGTGCCTCATCCAGCCTGAGAGACATGGAGGAGCAGGACCAGCAGGTGATGGGGGCGGGGGGCGGGGGGCGGAGGGGGGTGAGCAACCCGTTTCAGGTTTCTTCCAAAAAGACGTGTGCAGGAGGCTAGCTGAACTTAGCCACAGTTTCAGAGATGCATAGAAATGAAACTACTGGAAGCATTTGGCTTCAGTTAAACTTGGGGCCGAGCAGAGCCAAGACCAGCACACCTGGCTGAGGAGCATGGGCTGTCTGATGGCCATCTCACCAAGATGGTATGGGAGCAGTGACTGGGAGGAGACCCAAAGCCAAGGTGGGAAGGTGTCACCAGCTTCCTGACCACATAAGGAGAAAGGTAGCTCCTGTTTATCCATCAAATATTTAACTAAGAACAGGTCTTAATAAGACATTGCTTTGGTTTTGGGAGGAGGGCAGATTTGTTTGTTTGTTTGTTTTTCTCTTACCCCTGGAGAGTGAAGAAATAGAACCCATGCAAGCAGGACTTGCTGCAAAAATGTCGCCTCTCCATTCAGATGCTGCCACACTGTCGGAAATGCCACCATTAGTAAGGGATTTGAAAACTTGATCCTTCTTCATTCAAGATGAAAAAAGTTTACATAGCTATAGACCTTGACAGGTCACTAAAAAGTGTTCAGACTCCTGAAAAATGTATGAAGAATCCTCAAAACATTAAAAATAGAGTGGCCACAAGATTCAGCATCCCACCACTGCGTATATATCAAAAAATATGAAATCAGTCAGAGCTATCTGCACTCCCATGTTCATTGCGGCAGTATTCACAATAGCCAAGGTTTGGAATCAACCTGAGTATCCATGGAGACTCGTGGATGGGTTTTTAAAGTATGGTACATATACATAATGAAATACACAGCAGCCTTAAAAAAGAAGAAAATCTTTTCATTTGAAACAGCATGGATTAACCTAGATGACATTATATTAAGTGAAATAAACCAGGCTACAGAAAGACAAATGCCATATGACCTCACTCAACGTCTAATCTAAGAAAAGTGTTGAACTCATAGAAATACAAAATGAAATGGGGTTACCAGAGACTGGGGGCTGGGAGGATTGGGGAAATATTGGTCTAAGGACATGAAGTTTCAGTGAGACAACATGAATAAGTTGAAGAGATCTATTTTACAATACGGTGACTATAGTTAATAGCAATATATTGTATATTTGAAAGCTGCTGAGAGAGTAGATTTTAAGCGTTCTCACCACAAAAAGTAAGTGTGTGAGACAAAGCCTATGTTAAACAGCTTGACTTAGCCATTCCACAATGTATACAAACACCAAAACATCATGCTGTAATCATAAAGTTTACTTGTCAATTAAAAAAATAAATTTAAAAAGGGTTCCAATTCCTTATATCTGTTGAATCCTGCAGTAGGTCTATGAAGTATGCTGGGCTCTAGAATGTAGTTGTTTAAGCACCCAAGTGATGAAGCCAGACTGAGTTTGAATCCCATCTCTGACTAGCTATGAAACCCGGGGCCACCCACATAACCTCCCTGCGCCTTAGTTTTCTTTGCCCATAAGTGGGGTGATGATAGTACTTACCTCAGAGAGCTGCTATGATTAAATAAACTACTGATGTAAGTGATTGGAACAATGTCTAGCATGCAGCAAGTGATATGTAAACATTAGCAATTATCATTATCCTATTTTATAGGTGAGGTAAACTGAGGCTCAGAGAGGTGAAGTGACTTACTCCAGGTCACACCACCAGTTGATGGCAGAATGAAGATCTAACCTCTGCAATTTGGTCTTCCAACTTGAAGCCTGATGATCACAATGAGGAAGGCTCTCCCTCTTCTTCCACCCTCTCAAAGCAGTGATAATCATTGTGAAGACCCTTTCTTTTAAATATGACAAAAAAAAAAGTGCCTGGCAGAGAGGACTTAAAAAGCAGATGATGAGGCCCCAAGGAGAAGGGATAGCAATGCTTATTAACATTCTGCTCTCTGCTGGACTATTAGATGATGGGTTGGAAAACCTTTTTCTGTAAATGGCCAAACAGTAAATATTTTAGTCTTTGCGGGCCACCTGGTCTCTGTCAAAACCACTCAATTCTGCCATCGTAGTTCACAAACAACCATGAGCAATACGTAAATCAATGGGCATGACTATGTCCCAGTAACACTTTATTATGGATTCTGAAATTTGAATTAGGTAGAATTATATTTCATGTATGGTGAAATATTTCTCTTCTCTTGATTCTTTCCAGCCATTTAAAAATGAAAAAGCAATTCTGTGCTTGAGGGGCATACAAAAGCAAACAGCAAGACAGATACCAGGGGGCTGTAGTTGGCTGACCCCTGATGCAGAGGCTGAGATTAACTTAATTCTACCAGCACTGCTGAGACTCATTTTATGCATGAGTAAACTGAGGCTCAGGGGCTTCCATCACCAGCTTACAAGGCAGATTAGTGAGGAGCAGAGCTAGGATTCAGTTCCTCTTTCCATCTCCTCTGTGATGCTCTTGGACCTAGTTGTTCCTTCTGTGTTTGTCACCACTGTGTGACAAGGTTGCAAGACCCTCTGTTATAGGACGAGGGAAACCGTCCTAATGGACATGCCCCTTCAGTGTGTGATGACGGCATTTGCCATACTCAAGCCTTTTAGGGAAGCAACGTCAATCAGCTGATGTTCAGGACATGTTGCTTCAGGAAATAGCAGATCCCAGCCACACCATGGGGCAGGTGCTTCGTACTCATTTGGTACGTGGCATAGGGCAATGGTTCTGTCATTGCCCCAGCTCTGTGGTACTGGTGACAAGACTCTTGATTCTCTGGCTTGTAGTCAGAAAGAAGTTTGGGAGGTTCCCACATGGCAGATCACCTTCGTGGGATAACACAGAAAGGTGCATTGGTCTCAAGGGCTTTGGATCATACTGGACAAGCAGCAGCAAAATGAGAGAGGTGCATGCCTGAAAGATAAAACTGGGCTAGGAGGTTTCCTGAAGGGTGCGGCCTGGGACTGGGAGATTTCCTGAGGGCCAACTAGGCTTTATCTCCCTCTTCTTCACATCCCGCATCTCAGACCTCAGACTTGGCTTCTGCCCCCACCTGCCAGACACACTCTCAGCTGAGCCAGCTGTAAGACTGGGGTCCGGCATCCAGCCTTTCCTCCTTGGTGCACATTGAAGACCCAGGAGTGCCCCGCACTGGAGCTGCTGTTCCCAGACTGCAGCAAAACCACAGCTGCAGCTGCCTGACTGCAGGTCTGAGCTTGTTTAGGCTTCACCGGAAAGAAAAATGCTCCCGCCTTATGCAATGGGTGCAGTCTGTCCTGGGAGCTGTGGCAAGCCAAGCCTGTCTGAGTGAGGGTGACTGGGGACCCTGGCACTTGCCTACTTACTTTATATCCTTTTAAAATTGTTGTTTCAGAAATAAACACTCTCAAAGTAGAAAATTTAGAAAATATGCATGACAAAAGAAAAAATGAAAATGACCCGTAATCCTGCTTCCTAAGAGTAACTGTTTTTCTTCTCTTTCCAGTCTTTTTTTCTATGCATGTGTGCTCCCTATCCAAATGGGATCATAGGATAAATGCTGCTTGGGGAATTTGTTTCTTTTTTATTTAACACTGTAGGGTGAACATCTTTCCATGCCAAAGCAAACTTTTCTTTGCCGTTATTTTTGCCTATCATCTGCTTTTGGCAAGTCCTCTTCCAAAGGTGTGTGGAACTTGGAGAGGATTTCTGTGTATTGGGGTCCTAGGCTCCAACTGGATCACCGGATCCAGTCCTTTTTAGGATCACCGGATCCAGCCCTTTTTAGGTAGGAGTGCGGGGGCAGCTCTGTGGCTTTGAGTAATAAAAAAAGCCCTAGGCTCATTGTTTGCACAAGTGTTCCTGCCCCAGCCCTGCTCTGACTCATGGTGCATCTTAAACTTGTCCCTTCATCCCTCTGGGCCTCAGTTTCTTTATCTATAAAATGGGACGGTCGGATTGAGGGCTTTGCTAGCTCTAATGTCCATGACTAAGCACTTGTATACTGAGGCAGATTCCAGAAGCCTCTGGGAGCATTGGCTGCTGAGAGGAAGTTATCTCTTCCCAGCCAGTAAGCTGGCATCTGGCTCAAGGCTAACCAAGGAGCTAGGCATCTTGGTCTGGAAGATCTGAAACCTCTCTGGGGTAGCCAGCACCCTATGCTATGGTTCCCAGGGCTTCACAGATCACTGGGTTCTCCCCACCTTCCTGTTCCCTGCCTCTGGGAAAGGGAAGCAGCCGTCCTGTGCCAGCACTGAGCTCACAACTCCACTGCTTCTTGGTCATGGTATTAACAGCTGGAACCTGCAGCAGCCAATAGCTACTGGTCACTCTCTGAAATGCAAACCAGGTGACTAGGCAGAGAGTGACATCTCAGGCAGTGCCAGGGCCAGTGCCTGGGAGGCTGGGCAGGTGGTAGAGCTGGGGCTTCTGGGAGCTGCAAAGGGCCTAGGAAAAGGGCGTTGGGTGGGCAGGCTTTCCTCACCTCTGTTTTCCCTTCCTCCTGTGATCCAGGAATAGCAGCTGGCTTTTCTTAATCTGATGTGAAGAGTCCTGCCAAGAAACTAGAAGGCTGAGGCAGCTGCTGTGTGAAGGTTTTGAGGGATCGGAGCATCATGAAGTATAAACAGCAGAATCTTTTTTTCTGGCACTTGGGCTGTTTGTCTTCTATACTCTTTTATAGAAATTACAACAACAGCAAGAACAATAATAGCAATACAGCTACCATGTAATAAGTTTTGCCATCTTCTAGGCAATGAGCCCAATGCTTTACTTGCTTCATCTTATTTGAGATGAGCTGTTTGTTGGTATTATCTTTATTTTACAGCTGGGGAAATAAAAGTTCCAAGAGGTTAAGCTATTTGCCTAAGGCTCCCTAGCAATGAGTTGCTAGGCTACGATTTGGACTCAGAACATCTGTTCTTAAGCTTGGCCTCTTATCCACCTGGCCTTTCCATCTCCTCAAAGCTTCATGCTCCAGTTGGGCAGGAACCTCCCACTGTAGTTTCAGTTTTTCCTTATATGCAGAGATTCCCAGAGGCTTAGAAATTCTATCAGTTCCAGGCATCTAGGTGCTAGGTCCCATGCTCATCAACAGTGTACCCAAAATGTGTAAGCTTTGGTCTTCAAGTGCTGGAAGTTTAATATTTCATTGATGAGATGAGTGATACAGATCTTGAGTTTCCAGGGGGCATTTATATTTTTCATGGCATCATGGAGTGTGTGTTTTGAGCCATGCCTTCTGCAATGTGAATCCCACATCTGCCACTTACCTGTGACTCTGGGCAAGTCTCTTATCCTCTCTGTGCCTCAGAATCCTCCTCTCTTAAACAGGGGGAATGTTGTATACTTTATAGAGATGACTCTTAAGGATTAAAGAGAAGGTATATAAAGTACTGTCACTTAGCAGGTGCTTCATGAATGTTAGCTCTTGTTATAAAGACTAAGAGAATGGTACCCTGGGTCAGATGCTTGAGTTTTATTCTAACTTAACTACTTAGCAGTTGTGTGACTTTGGATAACTCACTTCTATCACTCTGTGCCTCAGTTAATAGGATTGTCATAAGGAGTAAATGTGTATCTTCTATGTATATAAGTATACAAATGCACACACATATTTCAGAGCAACACATGTTTACTAAGTATCTATTATGTCCCTGGCACATACCAACTGTTCTGGGTTTTACTTTTCATTATTATTCCTCTACTATCAGCACAATTTTATATTTATTACCATGACTACTAGTCATGCATCTGATTTATGGATTCGAAACCACCTCGCTCTCTCCTCTAGATGACCATATTTGTATTCATGGCATTGCACATTTAAGTCATCAAAACTTGTAACTTTGGAATTATTTATAATTTTCCTTTCCCCCTCCACAATCACCCTGTCAGTACTGTCTGGGACTGTTTCTTCCATCAAAACCGTCCTTTCCATTCCCACTGGCATCATATACCTCATCAGTCATTTAGAGATGGTGTGAGTGAGTGTTGCAGCTTCTTCCCTGGGAGCCACTTTTGATGAGAAGAAGCCAGGAAGGGAGGGGCACATGGTTCTTCCACATCCACTCCCCTGTGGTTGGTCATTTCCCATCAAGATAGCCAAAGAATTATTCTTTGAACTCAATTCTGTTTACTTCTCTCCTGAAAAACAATCAATGCCCCCCTACCCATGCCTTTTATTTTTCACACAGATTCTTGAGTCTGGGTTTCAAGGCTTTCCACAGTCTGGCCTAAGCTTTTTACAGGAATCACCATGGATGATGCCTGACCTTGCATTTTGCTCATGCAGTTTGTTTGTACCATTCAAGGTAGGTCTCTAGTCAGTAATGGGTTCAGGAATGGGCAGTCCTAAGCTACTTCGTGTCAATGGGATCTGAGGAGAAGTTTGCTTGGGGCTTCTGGGAAATATATACTACTTTTTTTTCCCTCTCTGCTTTTCAATGCAAACACCTTTTGCCCCAGGTGCAGCTGACAGCCAGCTTGCAACCACAAGGATGGCCACCATGAAGTCAAAGGAGAACTGAGAGAAGAACCAAGAAACAGACCAGGAACCCTGACCGAACTGCTCTGAAAAGCCCCTGCTTCTGGACTCCATTGTGTAAAATACATTTCCCCGTTGCCTAAGCCTGGTCAAGACATACTTTTGTTACTTGCAGCTAAAAGAATCCCAGCGGATATATTCATCTTTCCAGCTTTATCTCCAGCCATACAGGATAACTTGCTTCTCTTGAAATTTCCCCTCACAGTCCTACCTTGGTGCCTTCTCTCATTCTTGTCTTCACCTGGAATGCTCTCCCCAAACTATATTGTTAAGGTCTTATACACTCTTCAAAGTCCAGATTCAAAGGCACCAACTTATCCTCATTCAGAAGGACTCTCTGCCCTCCTGAGTCTCCAAGATGCTTTGTGTACACCTGATGGCACCAAAACATCCACTCTACAGCACGCTCATCTGCCTCCTTCACGGGATGGCATATTCCAGGGAGGCTGCTTCTCTTTATAATTTTGAATCCCCTAGTCTGGAACAAAGTGTGCTTAGGAGATATTTGTTGCATTAAGATGTGAAATTCAATACAAATGATAACCAAAAGTCAAATGATGGTAACAAAAGCAATCAGTGTTAAGTAAGGCAGAAAGGGATGGGATCTCTCTGGGCTGGAGCAGTGAGGGTGGGAACTGTGGCTCATGTCTTGTAATCCCAGCACTTCGAGAGGCTGAGGTCGAAGGATTGCTTGAGCCCAGGAGTTTGACAGCAGGCTAGGCAACACAGCAAGACCCTGCCTCTACAAAAAATTAAAAAATTAGCTAGGTATGGTAGCACGCAACTGTAGTCCCAGCTACTCGGGAGGCTGAAGTGGAAGAGTTGCTTGGGGCCAAAAGTGTGAGGCTGTACTCCACCCTGGGTAACAGAGTGAGACTCTATCAAAAAGAAAAAAAAAAAGAAGAAGAAGAAGGAGAAAGAAAAGAAGTAAAGAAGAAATAAGTGCTACTTATGTCTTGGGATGTGCCCCAACTAATAGGTAGAATTTGGATATGTTGGCTTGGGGGGAATTCCTCCATGGAGAGGACTAAGCTGATGCAGGGATCTGTTTCTCATTCCTCTACTCATTGTAGTATGTTTGAGGGTTTCTTTGTAATTGTTGGGAAATGTGGTCTCTGTAATAAAATTATGGTGGGTGGAAGAGGAGAAAAGTTGGTTTTGTCCAAGTGGAAATGAGTTCTTCATTTTTTCTATGATTATAAAATGAATAAACACAAGTGGCAGTTGGGGATGGGCTGGGAGCATTTCAAGATGGTTTTTATAAGCCCAACAAAGTATAGCTGTGAGACAGAGGGGATGTTGAACTCATCACCATGTTCCTCCAGGTATCCAGACATTCCCTCTGTTTCAGGGGCTTAAGTGTTCAGGCTGTTATAAAGAGGGTTGTCCATCCATATAAGGTACTATGGCAGACACATTATGTGTTCTTATTATCTCATCTTCTTCATGATCACACGAGAAGACTACAAGTGCTGCCATGTGACTGGGTCTTGCCAGTGGAATATAGGTGGTAATAATGTACAACTCCACTTCCAAGCCTAGCCCCTAAAATGGCCCATGCAATCTTTCATGGTCTCTCTCTCATTGTCTGGTTGAATCTACAAGTTCCAGTGGAAGACTCTGAGGAGGACTTAAGCAAGGCAAACCCACCAGATGAAGGAAGCCTGAATCCCAGAGTCTCACTGCTTGGAGGAAAACTGCTCTAGAGAGCTGCTTGACCAAGAACACCTGCATTGAACCTCGTGTGAGAAAGAAATAAAGTTCTACTACTACATTAACACCTAAAATGTTGAGTCTGTTTGTTAGCTAGCCTACCCTGATTAATATGGATGTCAAAGAGATGGCTTAGCAAAATCTGAGGGCATGGGTAAATGGCAGTCCTATCAAGATGATCAGCACATGACAGGTAGGAGGCTTTTACCTGATGGTCATGAGAAGGAGAGGTAATACAGACCCTCAGTACTGGAAAGATTCAGTGTTTTCTCCACTGGCAAGGGATGTTTTGCTTTAAACTTCCTAATGTTGGCTGCAAATGGCACCTGCTGGGCAGAGGCTGGGCAGTCTCTGGACACTGATTCCAGTGCTGTTCATGGGGTCCTGCCTGCTCCTATTATTTGACAGCCCTTCTTTTAAGCCCTGTGGACTTCCTCTTTGATAATGCTCCTCTGATTTTCCTCCTTCCTCTACCTTTAATTTTGAGAGATATTGCCAAACCACTATCCACAAAAGAAAGCACATTTAAAGTGCCATTATCTGTTTGTGGGGTGGATATGAATGCCTATTTCCCAACTTACTATCCAGGACTGCATGCATGTTATCAAACTTTTAAATTTTTATTTCATTACAAAGAAATTATTGTGGTAAAAACATTACACAAAATTTACCATCTTAAGCATTTTAAGCGTACAATTCTGTAGTGTTAGGTGTGTTCACATTGTTGTACAACCAATCTCCAGAAGTTTTTCATCTT
Organism: Homo sapiens; assembly: GCF_000001405.40. Lineage (NCBI taxonomy): Eukaryota > Metazoa > Chordata > Mammalia > Primates > Hominidae > Homo > Homo sapiens. The sequence continues at coordinate 35,121,602 of NC_000011.10, forward strand.
GCAAAACTTCAACTCTATGTGCATTAAACAACAATGCCTCATCTCCTCCTCCCCCAGCCCCTGGCAACCACCATTCTACTTTCTGTTCCGATTAATTTGACTACTCTAGATACCTCATGTAAACAGAATCATGCAGTATTTGTCTTTTTGGATTGACTTATTTCCTTTAACATAATGTCCTCAAAATCCATCCATGTTGCAGCATGTGTCAGAATTTCCTTCCTTTTTAAGGCTAATATTCCATTATGAGTGTGTGTATATATTTTGTTTACAACACAAATTTTGTTTATCCATTCATCCATTGATGGGCACTTCCAACCTCTTGGCTGTTGTGAATAGTGCTGTTATGAACACAGGTATACAAATATCTTTTTGAGATTCTGTTTTTGATCCTTTGGGAGATAAATATACTCAGAAATTGAATTTTTAAATCATGTAGTGGTTCTATTTTTAATTTTTTGAGAACCTCCATACTGTTTTCCATAGTGACTATACCATTTCATATTCCCACCAGCAATGCACAGGGTTCCAATTTCCCCACATCCTCACCAACACTTATTACTTTCTGCTTTGTTTCGGGGTTTTCTTGACAGCAGACACCCTAATGGTTGTGAGATGGTATCTCGTTATGGTTTTAACCATTTTTTCATGTTCACCTAATATGCTTTAAATTTGAATTCACATTTTTTGTTATATATAGAGGTCAGAAGAACCCATCCTAGTGATGAGATGCTTCTGGTTTCCAGTCTTATAAGAACTACACCAACTTTGCAAACAACAACTAGTGTCTGGAGTGAGTTATCCCTTGGCAGTGGTAGAGAAACTCATGTTCTTCAGATGCAAGGTTTACACAGCACTTTGTACTTTATACACATTATCTCACTTGATCATCACAGCAGCCTTGCAAGGTGCAGAAGGCAGATGAGGAAATTGAGGTTCAGAGATGAGAAAAGAGAGAAAGAAGGAGACCAGCTCTTTAAAATCATAACCACAGAAGCAAATGCCTAGTGATGCACAACAGATATTGCTGTCTGCCTGTCCAACATCTGTTCTCCCCTTTTCCTTTCGTCAGGGCCCCAGTTTTGTTAGGGTATCCACCCAATGTATTCATAACTCCCATAATGGTAGTTCTATCTACTTGCTTAGAGATTGGTTTACCAGTGGTCAGTACAGTGTGAAAGGGATTTTAGGAAAGATTTCTTCATTTAAAAAAACTTTAAAAAGAGGTGGAATGGTCTCCCTTCTTCTGGAAGATGTGGTTCCCGGATGGGATGCTAGGAATTGCAGCATCTATCTTAGGACCACAAGGGGAACCAGTCTTAGGATGAAGCCAGGGGCATATATGACAGAACAGAGTAATAGAAAGCACCTGGGTCCAATATCACAGAGTTGTCAATAATAACACACTATTTTTTTTCTTACTTCTTGTGGTGTGAAATAATACATTTCTTTCCTGATTGAGCCAATTTGAATTGAGATTTTTTTAGGGGTTTTTGGCAGCTGAAATAATCCTATTAAATGGTGGATGAAATTATAAAGTGACAAGAAAGTGGTGTGAAAACATGATTCAAGCACGTAAATGTCACATCCCTGCATCCCCATGTTGGGTAGTAGGTCAACACTGTTCCAGAGGTGTTATGAGGAAAGCCAGGAGAGAGAGAGAGAGTGTGTCTAACCATGGCTGTTAGAAACCGTCAAAGGTCCAAATGGTGAGAATGAACCTGTTGTCATCATATCTAGCAGGTCAGCATGAGATCAAATATTGGGTCCCAAAAGAAACCTGTTGTACACTGGCCTGATATTCTCATGTTGAGGAACTTCAGCTGCAAACCTCTCTAACCATCCTTTGCTCCCTTCTCCCCACAAAAGGAGGAGGAAATTCTCTTTGTTGATGGTGAGTTTGGAGATAAAGTGGACATTTTCCACCTGGCACCTCCCTTTCCCTCTCAGATATGTCATCTGCAGTGAGGGTCCATTCCGGGCTGCTATCCACTCTGTGGCAAGTGAGGAAAGCTAGAAATTTTATGAGGTGTGCTGCAACTTCATTTCAGGGGACAGGATTAGAGAATCCCTTGTGGCTACATATTTAAGCTGTATTCTTTTCTTCAGCTTTTTCTGGTCATGAAGCTCAGATTCCAATCTCTGTCTATCTGATTCCTATATAATTCCTTCCATAACTCTTCCTGAGTTCAGAACCAAATATTTTTCTTATTTGGTTCTGAACTCAGGAAGGGATGTGGAAGGCATTATTCTTTGGACCCCTAGACTCTAACTCAAACCATGAAATCAAAATTGGTAAGTTTTAATAAAACTAAAAATAGAGGTATGCATAATGGTGTGAGGATAAAGCCTCACATCCCATCTATTAGTAGTCTGTTGCTCCGATGTAACTATATTTTCTGCAGGATGTGAGGGATATTTTCATATTCCTGGTGAGAGCTGGGATGTGGTTTCCAAAATTTAAAAAAACTGGGATTCTACAGAGGCCTTTAAAAAGGGATGATATAAGATCCTTAAAAGGGATGATATAAGAACTGAGCTCAGAATAGAGTTTCTGAGCTAGGATGGACGGGATGAGTGAGTGGCGTAAGTGACTCTAAAATAATTTGACCTGTTGGATTATTGCAAATCAGACTGCATTTGGCTCTAGGAAACATTCTGGGTTTCAGCCACTGGTGTTGAGCCAGCTGAAGGTAAAATAATAGAAATATAGTGTTAGTAGTAGTCACAGCAGCAGTAGTATTAGTACCAACTAAAGTATGCTGGATATGTGTTATTTTATTTTATTATTTTATGAAGTCCTCACTATGACCCTGTGAATTAAGTATTATATTAGCCTTGTTTTACATTTGAGAAAATTGAGGCTTAGAAAGATTAAATAGTTGGTCTAAGGTCACACAGCTAGAAGTGCCAAACCTGGGTTTTAACCTGGCCACTGCGACTCCACTCTAGATACTAACTCCATATTGCAATCAAACTGTTTATAACCATTCCCATTTCTGATCAGTTTTCTGAAGGAATAATGCCACAGAAGCAAAAAGCTATATGTGTAAAATTTTCCATTATGTTTTATATCTCTGTAATCCAAGGAAGTGACTTGAATGCACACCAGCATGGAACTATATTAATAAATTATGCTACATCAAATCAATAGAATGCTAGACGTAATTTTAAAATAATAATTCCAGAATTTACATTAAAAAATGAGCATTATATTCTACTATAAAGACACATGCACATGTATATTTATTGCAGCACTATTTACAATAGCAAAGACATGGAACCAACCCAAATGCCCATTAATGATAGACTGGATAAAGAAAATGGGGTACATATTCACCATGGAATACTATGAAGCCATAAAAAGGAATGAGATCATGTCCTTCGCAGGGACATGGATGAAGCTGAAAGCCATCATCCTCAGCAAACTAATGCAAGAAGAGAAAACCAAACACAACATGTTCTCACTCATAAGTGGGAGCTGAAAAATGAGAACACCTAGACACAGGGAGGGGAACAACACGCATCGAGGCCTATTGGGGGCTGGGGGGTGAGGGGAGGAGGAGCATCAGGACAAATATCTAAGGCATGTGGGGCTTAAAATTATATGACAGGTTGATAGGTGCAGCAAACCACCATGGCACATGTGTACCTACATAACTAACTTGCACTTTCTCTACATGTATCCCAGAACTTAAAGTAAAATTTAAAAATAAAGTTTTGAATTTGTCCAGTAAATAATAAATAAGTATAAAGCTGAAAAAAAAATGAGCACTATAGAATGTAAGGCTAAGGAAACAAAGCTGAGGAGAAAATGGCATGTATACCCAGATGGCAACAGTATAAAAAAAGCAGGCCCACTTGTGATCCAACACTGAAAGGAAATATGCACAAATAAAAATAACAACATTTAATAATAAGTGGGGTCTAGGTGAATATTTTTCTTTTTGCTAAAGCTGTTTCCAACATTGCAGAGGCCCTATTTTGTCAAGAAAAGAAGAACATATCCATAGGGGGTACTGCAGGCAGAATCACGTGTATGTGTGTACACTGGCTAGTTCATTGGTAGGGAGCAGGGTCAATGGGCACACTTGCAGAGAGCTTTGTCCCTGCTGAAATGTGGCTCAGCCTCATCGAAACCGCAGATATTAGCCTGACCTTCAAGAAGGCTGCAGCCAGGTTAGATTCTTCTCTCCTGAGTCTCTTTAAATTTTCAGCAGACACTGAAGTCATAAGTGCCGTTTCCTATAACCATCCCACAGAAAAGGAAAACTCTGTCTCTGTCTCCAGACAGCTTGTGTCCTGAGGTATTCAGGAGCCTGCCCAAGATGCTGGTGACACCACTGAGACGTGAGAGAGAAGCACATGGGGCAGGACAGGGCAGAGGGAAAGACAATACAGCAAAAACTTTTCTAGAGGAAATAAGATGTAAATGAGTAAAGAGCAGGAAGAGAGAAACAAATGCTAAGGCGCTGGATGGTAAGTGACTTTCTCAGAGGGTTAAGACGGAAAAAGGTAGTATGATTGATTAGTCCGTTTCCTCCATCTACAGAGGCCCTCATTGCAATTCAATGAACAGGGCTTTGGTGTGAGACCAGGTTCCATCTGCTTCCTGGCTGTGTGAGTGTGGGCAAATGGCTTAACCTCTCTGATCCTCAGATTCTTTAAGTGGCAATAGCCATTCCTCCAGCGCAGCAGTAAGTGAGATGTTCTTAGAAAGCCCTTCTCCCAGTGCCTCTCTGATGACATAAGTGGCATTTCAATTATTCTCTACTTCTCTCCCCTTGGAGATGGGGCTTCCTGAAACCATCCACGGTATAGGCATAGACCTAGGCTCTGCCCCAGACAGCAAAGCATTTCCTGTGCCCTCCAAGTCCATCCCATGGGACAGCTCCCTGCCATTCTCCCTTCCTCTCCAACTGGGGACCAGAGAAGCCTGCCACTGCTTACCAGAGGGAAGGGAGAGGTGACCTGAGGGCTGCCCCCTGAGCATCTGCTCTGCTCTGCAAGTGAGTTTCCAGATTGCGTGTGATGAGAACAGAAACAAAAACTGCAATTACTTTTGCACCAACCTAATATAAAAGGTCTGAATCAGGCCACTAGGAGCTGACACTCTGTGGGTGGGGGAAGAAAAAGGGACAAACCCAGTCTGAGGAGGTGGCAGGCAGCAGCAAGACCAAGGTGGGGAAGAAAGAGTGAAATTAAACCAAAAAACTCCCCAAAACAGTCATATATTTGACTGGTGGGAGGGGAACTAGGGCAAGAGATAGGAATGAAGGGAAAATAAGGAGAGGATGCAAAATGAGAAAGTGAGGAGGACAGAGAAAAAGAGAAGGGGAGAAAAAGTGGGAGAAAAACAGAAATTAAAAGAAGACAAAAAGGATGGGGAGGTTGAGAAAGGTTAAAAATATCTGGGAAATTGGTAGAATCGTCATCATTCTTCTGCATCCTGGAGAAAGCAGGAGGCACCTGTTGAATGCAATGATTTGGGGAGCAGGCACTGTTCACTGGATGAGGGGCGGCTTCTCCATTGGGCGAAGCAACGGAAATGTTGTTGTTGGTTGGTTTGTCTGTGGAGACATGACTCCCCCATGCTGGATGTCCCCTGACCCACAACACTAGGTGAGAATGGAGGAAGTTTTCCATCCATGAACAAGGGCAAGCAATGACTTGGAGAGTACCAGCAACCACCATTGGTATAGCTCCATCTGGACTGGGACAGAGGACATTGGTTACTTCTGAGAAAGTCAGACTTAGGCATAACTGGGGCTAAAGCCAGCTGGGTGTTTCTGGGTTTTCCCTTGTTTTTTTTTCTGAGTGCTCAGAGTTCTCATGCCCTCACCCACATCTACGACCCTGGGTCAAACATCCTGGGGAGGAAAGATCATCTAAACTCATTGACCCAAAGGCAAAGGGACTGATCAGACTTTAAATGCTCAGATGGTAGACTTTGGGGCATCAGCTGGCTGGCAGACGAGGGGCCAGAAGGACCTTCTCTGAAGGACACCATAGGGTGCCTTGCCTCCTGCTTTCTCGTCTTTGTCAGTGTCATTCAGAGTCCCCTGTTGGGACCACTCACTATGCTTGTGCTGTGGGCTGGGTGTAAGATTGGGCCAGATCCCCAGCCCCCATTTCCCACAGGACTAGTGTGAGCATGAGAGGCTTCCTTTTCACTTCTAATGCAGATGTATCGAGTCCACCTAGCATGTGTTGAAAACTGTCCTCAGGACAAGGGTGTTTCCATAGAGGTGATCTCAGAGCCACTCAACATGTGTGTGTGTGTGTGTGTGTGTGTGTGTGTGATGTTTACTGAATCTTAATGTTTTTAAAATAATATTGCTCAATTCAAAAGTAATATACATATTTTTATAATACATGTACAAAGCCACTAGTAGAAAGAGTTTAAAATTACCAATAATGTAATAATAGTATTGTGGTTAAATAAGGGTTTAAAAGCCCTTATCTTTTAGAGATACATACTGAATATTTACAGATAAGTGTATATGATGTTTGGAATTTGTTTCAAAATAATCCAGCAGTTGGGGAGGAGGTAGGAGGTACAGACAGATAACAAGGGCTATGAGTGGATAATTGTAGAAGCTGGGTAATGGCTGTGTGGAAATTCATTATAATTTTCTCTTTACCTGTATGTATTTATGATTGAAATTTTCCATAATTAAAGGTTGTTTTTGGCCGGACGCGGTTGCTCATGCCTGTAATCCCAGCACTTCGGGAAGCCGAGGCTGGCAGATCTCCTGAGGTTGGGAGTTTGAGACCAGCCTGACCAAAATGGAGAAACCCTGTCTCTACTAAAAATACAAAAAATTAGCCAGGCGTGGTGGTGCATGTCTGTAATCTCAGCTACTCAGGAGGCTGAGGCAGGAAAATCGCTTGAACCCAGGAGGTGGAGGTTGCGGTGAGCCAAGATCACGCCATTGCACTCCAGCCTGGGCAACAAGAGCGAAACTCCAACTCAAAAAGAAAAGAAAAAGAGGTGTTTTTTTTTCTTTTTTTTTCTAAAAGAAAAAAAATTTTATCTTCCTTTTGTGCCATATGTATCTTTCCATTAAACTTTCACTTATTTCAGAACAAAATCACCAATGGTCCCACCTCACGTCAGTCCCTTTCCTATTCATAGATAAACATAGAGATGTTGAAAACAAGACCTTATTGATTTGGTCAGTTTTAATGTTTTGCACAGTCTATTTCAGAGTACAGTGAACAGGAGCTCTTCGAAGATGGAGGCATGCGCAGTGAGTGAGGCTCACCCAGGTGTCTCCGTTTTTATCATTGTTTGTGGTGTGACAGGTGCAGTGGACCTAGGAAATAAGTGAAGAAATGAGTACAGACCAAGACATCAACATGCACAACCCCCCATTAGAAGAAGAAACAGGGGAAAAGACTCAGAGGAGGAGCAAGGGATGGAGAGAGAAGTGTAGCAAAGACAACAGCTTCCTGAACTCCACGTTCTTCTCTTTCCTCTGGACTCACAACTGGACCACATAACCTTTCCAGCTTTCCTTGCAGTTAGGTGAGGCAACGCGACTGGGTTCTGGCCAATGGAATGTGGATGGAAGTGAGGGTCCCACTATCAGGTCTAGCCCATAAAAACCTCACAAACAATTCTCCTCCATACTCTTTTTCCTTCCACCAACTGAATGGAAGTGACCTCAGTGAACTCGGAAGTCATGTATTGAAAATTGCAGAGTTTGGCCGGGCACGGTGGCTCACGCCTGTATTGCAGCACTTTGGGAGGCCGAGGCGGGCGGATCACGAGGTCAGGAGATCGAGACCATCCTGGCTAACACGGTGAAACCCCGTCTGTACTAAAAATACAAAAAATTAGCCCGGCGTAGTGTCAGGTGCCTGTAGTCCCAGCTACTCAGGAGGCTGAGGCAGGAGAATGGCATGAACCTGGGAGGCGGAGCTTGCAGTGAGCCGAGATTGTACCACTGCACTCCAGCCTGGGCGACAGAGCCAGACTCAGACTCCGTCTCAAAAAAAAAAAGAAAAAAAAGAAAAAAAAAAGAAAATTGGAGAGTCTCTATCAGCCTGAATTGTTTATCCCTCTTCACCATCCTATCTAACCAGAAACCCTTACAAGTATTAGGTAACCACAGGATAAATGTGTATGTGTTTAAGCCGTTTTACCTCGTAGCTGAAATTGGACCCAAAACACAGAAAGATAAATTAATCTGAAAGGCAGAATGAAAGATAGGCTATAGCTGTATCTATAAAGACAAGGGAAAATATAATTTTAAGGAAGGGTGAGTCAATAATAACAATGACTGTTTTTTAGACCCTGCCATATTCTAAACTCTTCGATAAGTTGAATAGATGCATGATTACATTATATACTTTAATTTTCATGATAATTATATCAAGCATTAAATGGGGATCTTAAGCTCAAAGAGGTTGAGTACAGTGCCCAAAATTCCACAGCAAATAAACAATGCTCTTCAACAGCATATCATCTTACATCCAAAATAATAAGACTAAAGAGTCAGTTAAAGTGACTTGCAGAATAGTGGATGGGATTGAGCCAGGGAAAGTGGGGCGTTTATTGGGCATCAGATGGTGAGGATTGAGTAACAGGACGCTGCTCATCCATCAAGATCTGGCCCGAGTACCCTTCCTCTCTATAGAGACTTTTTGAGCTACACATGTTGGTATCACCACTCTGAATTTCTTTTTTTCTCTTTTTTTTTTTGAGTCAGAGTCTTGCACTGTTGCCCAGGCTGGAGTGCAGTGGTGCTATCTCTGCTCACTGCAAGCTCCGCCTCCTGGGTTTACACCATTCTCCTACCTCAGCCTCCTGAGTAGCTGGGACTACAGGCACCCACCACCATGCCCAGCTAATTTTTTTTGTATTTTTAGTAGAGACGGGGTTTCACCGTGTTAGCCAGGATGGTCTCCATCTCCTGACCTCATGATCTGCCTGCCTCAACCTGCCAAAGTGCTGAGATTACAGGCATAAGCCACCACACCTGGCCTCTGAATTTCTTTATTATTTACTACTCCTTACCCAGTGCATTACAAGCTTCCTTAGAGTATTACTGGACTTGTTCTAAGGTCGATTTATATGCTAGATTTTTACTGCTTACTCACATTGGGTTCTTATCTACCTTTAGGCAAATGGAAGGATTACCCTTCCCCAGTCATCTTGCACTTAGGTGGGATCATGTGACTAACTCTAGCTAATGGGCTGGGAAAAGAAGTGACATCTATTATTTCTGAGACAAAGCATTTAATCACTGGCATGAGGCCTTCTACTATTCTTTTTCCCTGCTGCAGCAATTGTGTTACGAGACAGAGGTAGCACAAGATCAGTGAGCAACTGCATGGAAGACAGTTGTTTTAGAGAGTTTCCTGAACCCACAGCCAACTTAGCATGGCAAGAAGTCACCTGGGTGATTGTGTGAAACCAATGAGACTTTGCTTATGTTGTTACTGCAGCACAACTCAGAGTACTTTGACAAATACAATTTAATCTTCCATCATGATCAGAGATGTCAAATATTAATCATCAGTGTTACCACTGCCTCATGCTACAGACATGATGTATATTATTAATCCATCAATGGACTTTTATCCATTGAACTGTAAAGCCTCAGAATCTTTCTCATCACAGTGAACTAAGCAGTCATTATTAATTGATTAGAGGTGAAAATTAGGGGAAACCCACTAAAGTCATTCCATTCCACTCGGCATAAAATCCAAACTTCTTACTGGGGCCTGCAAGGGTGCACAAGAGCTGGCTTTACCTTCCTCTTCAATCTCATTTCCTACTACTTGCTTTCTCATTCACTCTGCTCCATCCACATTAACCTTTTTGGTTCCTCAAACACACTAAAAATACTCCAATCTCAAAGCCTTTACATTTGCTTTGCACTTTTTTTTTCATGTAAATTTGCCTGAAATGTTACCTCTTCACCCAGACCTTCCTAGTCTACCTTATTAAAATTGCCTGCACCCTCCACCCACTTCCTCGATGATAATAAAATGCCAGTCTGTCTTTTTGTGCTGTTGTATTTTTGGAATTTAGAGTAGTGCCTGGAATATAGAGGTGCATACAAAATAGTTCTTAAACTAATGAAGGCAACTGATCTGCCAACTCTGATCTAGATCATAGTCTCTGAAGAGAGAGGGCAGGTCCTCCTCATCTGTGGCTTGTCCTCTGTGGCGAATCCATGTAGTGCATACAGAAGGTGTCCATTAAATTCCCATTGGATGATTAAAAGACTTTTATTTTCCATTGCTTCATCATGGAGTCACATCTGTGTCTTTTGCCTTCTTTCACCTTCATAAGCTCTCTCAAGACGTCTCTTCCTTTCTCTCTCCCTAGCCCACCCTCCCCACATCCTCTCCCATTAAAGTTCAGTTCAACAAGTCTCTTTCTCACCCACGCCATGCCTTCTACAGCAGCATTCTTCTGTGGCTGGGAAACAGTAGCCAGCAATAAAATGCGTTTTGGCCTGGCCTCACATCCATGTTCTGTACCTATTCCTTTTCTACAGGATTTGATGCTAAGCCCAGTCAGGACTTGGCAGGAGCCTTATGCCTGTACGTTAGAGCCCAGAATTTCTACCCTTTGGGTGTTTTAAAGAGAAGCAGCTGTTACCATCTGCCAGATGAAAGGTTTTGCCCTTTGAAAATAGACTGTGAGGCATGTTCAGGCAGACAGGGGCTCTCTGGAGAAGATCTGGGAGGATGGGACTCGGAAGACCTGCCACTCATTTGGATTGACATACAACTGTAGGCAAAGTATCAGAGATGTCTAGTTTCTATCACAACGAAGGAGAGAGAACTGTATTCTTTGGGTAGAATGGGATGATGTGGGGAGGGATTATAGGTGAGGCCAACTGGTGAAAAGAGCACAGACCTCAGAATCAGAAGACCTAAGATTTAGAGTCAAAGTCCTGAATTCAAGACCCAGTGGTAGGGGCATCCGCCATCCACTTGAGCCACTGTTTACTCTTTTGTAAAATGGTGTGATGCTCTCCTATATTCATCAAGTCTTTTTGGTTGCAACGGAAACCAGCTTATGCTAATGTAAACAGAATAAAAGGAATTTATTGGAAGGATCTGACTGCATTCTTGCCATTGGCTTCTGTGAGGCACAAGTGTGTCAAGAATGGACTAGAACAAGAAACCCGAAAAGTGTTAGAACTCTAGAAGTATTTCCTGCGTTTCTGTGAGCTTCTGGTTTATTCTTATTTCCCCTGCTTCTCTGTCCTCATGGAGGTGTATTGCTGCCCCACAGCTTCCAAGTTTGTGTCTTAAACCTTCAGCCATGCTCTAATCCCAAATGTCAGGAACAAAGACTCTGACTGATCAGGATTGCTTTAGGTGTCTACTACGGGGTCGAATCAGTCCTGGGCATGGGAAGTAGGGGTCACATAGTACAACTGTGGCTGCCAGAAGCTGCTCTTCACAATCTGGATGAAATATTCAGAGAAGGAACTATAACTTGTGGGTTGGGCCACAAATCCAAAAAGGGTCTTGTGAGTATTATCGTCACTGAATAAACTCTCAGGTGCTGCAAAGAGAAAATGGTGTTATTTCTAGTCAGAATATACAACCATCTCACAATGATACTCTAAGGAATCAAGGCATAGTCCTATGCAAATCTAAAATTGTCCATTGAATAGCCACGGTCCGAGTCTACACATTTAAAGTTGTCTTATTCTAGGATTCTAATTTGTCAGAGGGCTGTGAGAGTCAACATTCTCCATTCTCTACCTTAGCAATACTCTTTTCACCTCCTCCACTCCAACAAAAGCTTCCAAAGGAAATCTTCCTTCTTAAAAGAAACTGATTTCCATGATTCAGAATAAAATTTAGTAAAGACTGATGAATTAGGACTCCATTAATTTAGCATTTTTGCTACATCAAGAATCAAAAAGGGATTAAACTTTTCTATCCCCATATCTCTTAAAGCCAGGAAAGATTTGCTAAGTGAAATAAAAATGTGACTTTGGACAAGTTTTGTAACCTCTCTAAGACTTTGTTTCCTTATCTGTAAAATAGAAATTAACTTTTCATAGGATTGTTGTGACAATTAAATGACATTAGGCTTGACATGTAGAAAGTACTGGCTATTAGCTATGATGTTGAAGATAATGTTGGTTGTAGTGATGGTAGTAATAACTCTAGTGGTGATGGTGGATAATGGTAGTGGTGGTGGTGATGATCGTGGTGATGATAGTGGCAGTGGTGATGGTGGAGGTGGTAGTGGTGATGATGGCAATAGTGGCAGTGAAGGAGTGGTGATGATTAATTATGACAGAACCAAGAATGTATAAATTGTTCTCAGCACATAGTAGTCACATAGTAAATGAGTGCAGAGAACAAGCAATTTTTAGATAATTACAAGGCTCTTAGTTACCATTTACATACCAACCATGGATATGTCCAAAACAAATCATGCTTAAATGTTCATCAAAACAGATTCCTAAAGCCTTCCAATAGATGTTTAACCACTTTGTATGAAGTGGAGAGAAGAGGAATAAATATGAATTTTAGTTACTACATGAACATAAAATAAATATAATTAAAAATAAATATAATTACATTCCCTTAAGTAATAGTGCATAAAATATAGACTGTTTTGCTTGTGTTCCTTCCAGTTAGCTTGCTACATAAAGCCACATACCATTAATTCAAATTTCATCGTCAAAAATTCACATTTCTAAGTTTGTTATCATCCAAGTCTAGGAATTGTCCTATCTGCATACTATTTTAACCTCCAAAGGTCTGCGTAAAACCCATTTTGTGGCTAACATGGATCTATCTAAAAAATCCAGTTGCATCTCTCCCCTTGGGACTTCCAGGGTGCAGCAGCCACACCAATTTCTTTATTTACCATAATTTGAAAGCCTTATTAATCCTAAAGGCTCAGCTCTATAATCACATTTGGTTAGCTTGAGACTAATCCTTAGAGGTTATTTATTTTTCATGAAGATTGCTTCCCAGCTACTGGTTTATTTAGACTTTACTAATAATTATTTCGCAAGAGCTTTTTTCACCACTGCTCATTTATATGTGTAGAATTCACACTGTGAATATGAACTAAGGATGAATTTTTTTAAGAGTTAAGGTTTAACTGGAATGTCATTTTTTCTTTACTGTGCCAGATCATTCCTTTTCTGGGAAGCTGTCCCGTGAAATAATTAAATATTGTCCCTTTAAAAGAGTCTGTGACCTGCTGCATTTGTAATCCTTGAATTCCATGATTCAGCCCAAGATCTCCCAGCTTTCCATTTCACACTCCTGCTCACATTTGGTTTAGATTTGGCTTTTCTTTGCTCGAGAGGAACAGGATTTATTACTACCAGTCAGAAGCCATCAGTCCCCAATATTTCAGCAAAGAACCCTAGTCTGCCAGAGTGAGTAATGCTCTGTTTGCACTCAAGTCTCCCTGAACCAGTCACCCCAAATAGGATGTCACTGCTTGCATTTATTTAGAAACTGTCAAGTTGTCTATGTGTTTCCTCCCACCAGTTCATGTGATTCCTGAAACACCCCTATGCGCTTTGATGGGAGGGAAAAAAAATAACAGTCCCTCATACATTTATGTAATGCTTATTTATGGAGCACAGTGTATATGTTAGGGACTGAGAGCTGAGTATGTGCTGGCACCCCAGAAGGACATGTCCCTGTTCTCAGGTAGCTTAGAGGTCATTGAGTCCCACCATGAGGCAGGCACACCAGGAAATGGTCTTGATGTCTTCTTTCACTGACTACTCATAATAAACTATGGGAAAGGTCTGATTACCCTTGTTTTGTGGCTGGGATTACCGAAACTCCCAGAGGTTAAGTCATCCTCTGATAAGGGGGAAAGCCAATGCTCAGACCTGGACTTTCTCGGTCCAAGGCTGCTGATTGAATTCTGGATTCTTCCCAAATAGTGTAATCTCGTGTCAACTCAAATCAATTCAAGTTTCCTTTCCAGTTTCCCACATCCCATGGTTTGGCTTAGAAAGAAAGATGGTGCAACACACAACAGATATCAAGCATCTAAGAGTTTGGGAAGGGTTTGTGTGACCAGTGGTGTGGGCAGGGTGTCTTTAGAATGGAAAGTGGATGAGAGGGGAGCTCAAAGAGGTGATCCAGGAATTCCCAAAGGTGGACCTTGACTCAGTAAGTCACCAGGTCTGTTATTTGAAATGAGTCATTTGTGGTATGGGGGCAAATGACCTCAGTCCCTCACCAAACTATCGGGAAGCAAGCAAACAAAATAATCCCCGCTTCTGGGGAGAATAATCCTAATTACAGCCCCTAGAATTTGCATGCCCTTCTACAGTTTGCAAAGCACTTTCACACCTATATTTTCCTTGGTGGAATTGTTTACTGCACTAATGGAGAAGGGACCAGGACTTGATATGGCCTAGTTTGTTGGTTTTTATATATTTTTTAAGAATAATCATCTGTCAAAATGTAATTTCATGCAATAGTCTGGTATATAAAACTGATGCAAGTGGAACTTCTGTGGTTGGGATGGGGCCTGGGGAGGGAGAGGCACAGCTTACTCCTCAGCTTTTACTCTGACCACTAGGTCTGCTTCTGAGGGGTCTCTAAGGAACCTCCAGGTTCCATGAAACACAGTAAGACAGACATTGTTCCTAGTGACTCCCCACGTCACTTCACTTTCTTGCTCCAAGAAAAGGAAGCTGAAATCCCTGGAGGTTGCATGAGGTGAAAAAAGCTGCTCCTTGTCCTGTATTCTTGTGCATGGAACCTACCAGGGCTGGTTTCCTCACATGAGTAGGGACTGAAGCCTTATCTGGGAGCCAGTTTGCCCCCAGTTGTTTCAAGAAATAAAGTGTCCTCTTGGTCACAGACAGCAGCAGTAACAACTTTTTCCTGCGGACTGGCAGCATTTTCCAAGCACCTGCTCTTCAGGTGGGAGTTACGGGTCACTGTCTTCATTCCAGACGGGCGGCTCTTTGAGTCATGGCATGCCAGCTTCTGAGTGGCTGAGGACTAGATCCAGACAAGGATTTTTCAGTCCCAAACACTCTTCCTGAAAATGCAAGAGGAGTAGTCTTTAGTCAAACAGAATCTCCACAACTGAAAAATTTATACCGGACTAGACAGTGGTAGTGGTTGCACAATATTGTTAAAGTACTACACGTCACTGCTATAAACACTTTTAAATGGGTGAAATGGTAAATTTTATGTTATGCATATTTTAACATAACAATGATAATAATTTTAACTAAGTACGTTGCCTCCTTATTTCCTACAGGGTCAAGTTCAAACTCCCTGGCATAGCTTACACCTTGTAGTCCCCATACCTGTAACCTCATGTCTGCTATCTTCCCCCAGCCCCTTCATCTGATCTATGTTCAGATCAGCTCACATTGCTCTCTATTCTCTGGACAAGCCATGTTCTTTCACTTTTCTATGCTCAAACACAATTTTGCTTTTAGTAATGATAGCAAACACTTATTTAAAGTGCTTACTGCATGCATATGTAGACATAAATCTACGGCTTAATACATGCAGGGCTTTTGAGTCATTTAATCCTCACCAATTCTATGAAGTAATAGAATTGTAATAGTAATAATAGATACTATTATTAAGCCCATTTTATACTTGAGCAAATTGAGCTAATTGCCTTAGGCAAGGTCACACAACTAAGAAGCAGCCATAATAGGGTTTGGATCTAGGTGTTCTAGCTCCTGAATCCATGCTGTTCGTCACTACACTGTACTGCCTGTGGATGACTTACTTGTCCCTGTAGTTTCATCTGAAGAATTCCTCCTCCTTTTCCTTTGAGGCCTGCCTCAAATATCACTTCCCCTGTGAAGACTGCCTGGTGTTCTCCAGGAGAGAGTGTGACTCCCTTCTCTAGGAATGGTAGCACCCCAAACACACACATTTTGCAGCATATTTCACCTTGCATGGTAATGGCCTGCTTGTGAGTTTTATTCCGTACCAGAGGGTGAGGGCTCTGAAGATAGCGCCAGGTCTTATTTACCTCGATACCCCACAACACTCATTACATGTCTGATGAATGAATGCATAGGGGGATGGCTGGGTGCATTTCTCTCAACTTTTCAATTTCTTGAAATAAATAACAAAATCTTACCTTCCCTCAGAAGTCCTGGCATGGTTCCTTTCATCTTGCCACAGCCACTGATAATCACTTTCATTTTCTGTGTAACTCACCAGGCAAGAAGTCCATGCAGATTTACTTTTAGTAGTTCACATGACAAATAAATACTGCGTTTGATTTCCAAACATTAAACCATAGTATATTATAGATAGATATAGAGTTATCATTCAAAGTATGATATTTCAATCTCAAAAGGCTTCCCCTGAAGAATATTACAAACTCTTCCTCTCTTTAAGATCTGCTGGGTAGGAAAGATGGGAGAAAATGAATTAATGTTTACACAGAAAGGAGGATAATGGGGGCAAAAATAATAGATGAACGTATGGGTGGATGAGAGAATGGATAAAATGATAGGTGGATATGTTGATCTTGGACAGATGGGAAATGAGTGGATATATCAATAAACAGATATGTGGGTGGATGGGTGGAGAAGAGGATGGTGGATGGTTGTGGTTTTATGAAGAGATGTGAAAAAGGAAGTGTGGAATGATGGATGAGAAGTTGTATGGGAAGATGAATAGAAGAATAGGTGGTTGAATAAATTAAAAGGTGTGTGGTTGGATGAATGAATGAGTGGGATGATAGATGGACCTAAGTGGTTAGTGGATGGACAGGAGGATGGATGGATGTGAGAGCCCCAGAAGGACATAAGGAAAGATGGGTGGATAGATGGATGGGCGGATGGAAGGATATTTAGGAGGATGAATGAGCATGTGTGTGGAGAGAGGTGCCCATTCACACTGGCTTGAACACATGGGTTAGCTGAGCCAAATGCCAGCCCTATGACAGGCCATCAGTAGCTTTCCCTGAGCTGTTCTGCCAAGAAGCTAAAATTCATTCAAGCCATGTGGACTTGTTATTGAGGGGAAAAAGAATGAGCTCTCCCTCTTTCCACTTGGAAGATTCACCAACTCCCCACCCCTCACTCCCCACTGTGGGCACGGAGGCACTGCGCCACCCAGGGCAAGACCTCGCCCTCTCTCCAGCTCCTCTCCCAGGATATCCAACATCCTGTGAAACCCAGAGATCTTGCTCCAGCCGGATTCAGAGAAATTTAGCGGGAAAGGAGAGGCCAAAGGCTGAACCCAATGGTGCAAGGTTTTACGGTTCGGTCATCCTCTGTCCTGACGCCGCGGGGCCAGCGGGAGAAGAAAGCCAGTGCGTCTCTGGGCGCAGGGGCCAGTGGGGCTCGGAGGCACAGGCACCCCGCGACACTCCAGGTTCCCCGACCCACGTCCCTGGCAGCCCCGATTATTTACAGCCTCAGCAGAGCACGGGGCGGGGGCAGAGGGGCCCGCCCGGGAGGGCTGCTACTTCTTAAAACCTCTGCGGGCTGCTTAGTCACAGCCCCCCTTGCTTGGGTGTGTCCTTCGCTCGCTCCCTCCCTCCGTCTTAGGTCACTGTTTTCAACCTCGAATAAAAACTGCAGCCAACTTCCGAGGCAGCCTCATTGCCCAGCGGACCCCAGCCTCTGCCAGGTTCGGTCCGCCATCCTCGTCCCGTCCTCCGCCGGCCCCTGCCCCGCGCCCAGGGATCCTCCAGCTCCTTTCGCCCGCGCCCTCCGTTCGCTCCGGACACCATGGACAAGTTTTGGTGGCACGCAGCCTGGGGACTCTGCCTCGTGCCGCTGAGCCTGGCGCAGATCGGTGAGTGCCCGCCGCAGCCTGGGCAGCAAGATGGGTGCGGGGTGCTCAGCGCGGACCCGGCGGCAGCCCCTCCGGCTGAGTCGGCCCTGGGGGACTGGAGTCAAGTGAGCTGTCTGCGAAGTGCATTGGGCTCCGGAAAGCAGGGCTGGGATTTGCGCTAAACCGTTGGAGAATGTGTCTGTGGAAGCACCATTTGGTTGAAAGAAAAAGAGAAAGAGAAGAAAGTTTGTTGGGCAGGCTGCCGGCGCGCAGTTTTGGGCGAGGTCGCTAGAGCTGCAGCACATGGCAGAAAGTAACCGTTCTCCCGGATGCGCACAGTCGTTGTCTGGACTAACAGGCTCCTGTGCCCAAGGGCTCGCCAAGCCCCACCGGGCTGTGTCTAGGCAGGGCAGAGCTGGGCGGGGCAGAGACTGGGGCTGGAACAGGGCGAGTGGCTGTTATCAAGGTGGTCACAGAAGGGATCACAATTCCAAGTGTGAGACTAGCTGGCAATGGGTTTTCCAGAAAGGGGTCCTGGGTTCTCCCAGCTCCCCACTGAGCCTTGTTCCAAAGCTTACAGTCCGCAGTGTCACTGCCACCTTAGCGCTGTGGAAGCTTGAACCAGCTCTGCGGTGAGGTCTTGGGTCTCCATGAGATTCCAGCCTGGGATAGGGAGCATGAATATGAGAGGCAACCACTGGACCAGCTGCTTGGTCCTCACCACCTCCTGCTTCTGCCAATCAGTGTGGGGAAATCTCAACAGTAAGGTGGCTTATATTCCCTGCCTGGCAGCCTCAGAGCAGAGAGAAGAGCCTTGATACCAGGGCAACATCAGGGACCCTGGAGCTAGGGCTCCAATATCTCATCCAAACAGGGTCAGTGCTTTGTGGTGGCTATGGAGGGGAGGGGCTGCGTGTAAGGTATATTCTAGCACGGCTCAACTCCAAGCATTCTCTTTCTTTGTCTATGTATGTACAGATAATTACATGGCCGATTTGCTTATCGCTGGCCAAAATTAATCTTTCTTTTAAGAAGTGCCAGCTGGGTCATTAAGACAGCTCAGCCTGCATGCAGTAAATTCTACTCAGCAAATATTTATTAACCCAGTTCCACGGGAGTACTGAGAAATTGAAACACACAGTCTCACCCAGGTAGTTTAGATTGAGTACCCAGTATAAAGTATCTTGAATTACTTTCTGCTTTCTCTATCTTCCTACTTTCTGCAGTAGGAAGAAAGTGACCCTAGGTGGAGGCTAGGCAGGATGAGTTCTCTGTGCATATGCATCTCCCTTTCTGTGTGAGTGAGAGGTCTTTGCTAGGTGGGGATTTGGGGATCTAGGATTTATACTACTGAAGCTGAAATAATAATAATAATGATAGCAACAACACAGCCTGTCATGGTGGCCCATGCCTGTAATCCTAGGACTTTGGGAGGCTGAGGCAGCAAATTACCCAAGGTCAGGAGTTTGAGACCAGCCTTGGCCAACATGGTGAAACCCCATCTTTACAAAAAATACAAAAATTAGCAGGGTGTGGTGGTGCACACCTGTAGTCCCAGCTGCTTGGGACGCTGAGGCAGGAGAATTGCTTGAACCTAGGAGGTGAAGGTTGCAGTGAACCAAGATTATGCCATTGCACTCCAGCCTGGGTGACAAAGCGTGACTCTGTTAAAAAAAAAAAAATGAATACAGTGCTAGCTACCATTTACTGTATATTTTCACTGTGCCAGGCATTATGTTAAATATTTTCCATGTGTTATCTCATTCTACCCTCACAATGGCCTAGTAAGAAGCTTCCTGTTATCAGGCCTGTTTGACAGGAGGAAAACTGATGCTTAGAGACGTTAAGTGACTTGCTGGCATTCACATAGCCAGGAGCAGTGCTGGATGGAAACCCAGCTCCACTGAGCTCCAAAGCCTAGGCTTAGAATATGTTAGACTGTATAAGATGGACGAACTTGGAAGGATTTCAGGGAGGGAAGGATTTTGGTGGACTCTAGGCCTTAGGGAAAGTTCCAAAAGGGACTGGAGCTCAAATAAGCCCTTGAAAAGTGGAAACATTCAGGATGGGAGAGAAGAGTCAAGCTGGAGATCAGGGAGAGCCCTGGGCCTGGCCTGAAAGAAGAGGGCCCTGGTGGTTTCCCTATAGTCTCTAGGGAAGTTTATTTGTATGTTACCTACCAGTGCCATCTTCTGCTTTGTCTTTGGGCATTCTGACTCCTGACTCCTTCCAACCTGTCTCCCCGTTCCTTCTAAAAGGCCCCACTTCCAAATATTTGGCACTGTCCTAACCCTTGAGGTTCTCCCAGAGACCCGCAGTCTCCCTCCTGCCCCGTGTTTCCACGGCCCCTTTGCGCAGCATCATTTAGAGGAAGTACAATGAAGTGCCAGTAGCAATAACTGCCCCGGCCCTCGCTTTCATGTGCTTGTAAAGTTGTTTGGCAGGAACTGGGACTTGGAAAGGAGACATGACTTTGTCAGAGGGCTTGGGGCTGGGCATGGTGTGGGTGGCGAAGGGGAGAAGGAGGAAAGGGGAAGGAAAGGAGCTCTTGTTGCCCCATTCTGGGGAGTGGTGGACTCTGGACAACCACGAGGAAACTTTGGAAAGGAGCAAGGCTTTGAGGAGGAGTCCAGTCTTTGTATGGGAAAGCAAAAAGTGGAGAAATGGCCAAATGTAGTTAAGTGACATTGGACCCAGAAACTCTGAGTTGGGGAACAGATATCTTGAATTCGGGGTCTTGTGCAGGAGGAAGAAAGTGGCCCTTGGTGGAGGCCAGGGGGGATGAGTCCTTCATGCACATGCATCTCCTTGTCTCTGTGGGTGAGGGGATCTTTTTTTTTAATTATTATTATACTTTAAGTTTTAGGGTTCAACCATTGTGGAAGTCAGTGTGGCGATTCCTCAGGGATCTAGAACTAGAAATACCATTTGACCCAGCCATCCCATTACTGGGTATATACCCAAAGGACTACAAATCATGCTGCTATAAAGACACATGCACATGTATGTTTATTGTGGCATTATTCACAATAGCAAAGACTTGGAACCAACCCAAATGTCCAACAATGATAGACTGGGTGAGGGGATCTTTGCTTGGGAATTGCATGCCTGGTGTTGAGAAAGAGGAGAGCGTCTGAGAGCCCTGGGTCTTAGGGCTGGCACACACCTTTCTGCTCCCTTCTCTCTAATTGAGCATTAGAGACTCCGCCCCCTGCTGGGAGTTAGAACTTTAGCTGTGTTTTCCCATGTGAAGGAGCAAAGAGGCAAAGCTTCATCTCTGTTGGGGCTAGCATCAACTAATTCAGGTATTCCCCATTTACACATTGGACATCTACTTGCTGCAAAGGCATGGTGACAAGTCCTTGTGTGGGAGGCTGGCAGCCAGTAGGAAAATGTTCCATTTGTTTTTTCCCAAATTTCCCCACAAAGGAGGGGATGCTGGACAGCATGAAATTCTTAGTTCATGACAGATTCCCTTCCATTCATTCAGGAACTATTTCCTGACTCATTGTCATAGACTCAGAGATGGGAACTCTAAGGATCATTTAGAAAATCTGAAAGAGAGGGACTAGTGACTTCCCCTCTCTGCGACTTGTTAAGATATTAGGGCAGGGCATTTCTCTCATGTATCTCTATCATGAGGACTGTGGGAGCCTCAACCCCACCCCCTGCAGTGGGTGGGGAGGGTGTGGTCTACTGGGGTAACAACATTTGTTTCACACCTTAAATACTACCTTACAGACTCATTACAGTTTTATATATTACTCTACAATATACCCAATTTGAGTTTAATACAATAATAATGATATATATTTTTGACCATATAGCAATGTTGGTGTTCGACAATGATTCTCTGTATTGTCCTGGGGCTTCTAGCACCTCCTGGAACATCGCTAGATGGTCAGGAGCACCAAAGTTTTAAAAACCTGATGCTCTGCTGTGGTACCATATGGTCCTGTGTAAAGCAGGGTCCTAAGTCCTGAGTCTCTAGGAAATACTGCTCAGTGAGCACTGACTCTATACTAGATGTGAAGCCGGGGGTAGCACAGGATATCTTATCTAAGCCTCCCAACAGCCCAATACACCTAGCACTCTCTTTAACTCCATTTTCTAGATAAAGAGATCGAGACTTGTGGAGATGGCATGACTTGCCCCAGGATCCAGTGGTGGAGTTGGGATTTCCGCATTATCTAACATCCTCCCATGTTAGACTCCAATGCTTATGCTCCTTCAATTCATTACGTGTCTGGAGGACTTTGGAAGCTATACGTGGCTCTCCCACACTACCTGTCCCCTGTGGCCAGCATAAGTGAACTCTTGCATGGGTGGCTTCTCTCTCCATCCCCGGCAGGCTGTGGACTCTTGGCTGCCCTGCCCTGGCCTGTCTCTCCCCAGGTTTGGCCACAGATATCAGAGATGCCAACCAAGTTATTTGTAACTAAAATAAATCACATCCCTTATCAGAGTCCAGCTGCCCTCCCAGATATGCTCTGATTTACAGGCTTGGAATAAAGAGAGAGGTGGTTGCTTGTCTACAGGACAAGTTAGGGCAATGCCCTCTGCCTGAATATTAGGAAAGCAGCATTACAGGAGCTCTCACTCTGACCAGGCAAGCATTTCACATGCACAGACCCAGAGACCCACTCCTCACATGCTCATTAGTAGGTTGTGCGACCCTGGGTAGGAGGCTGACATGGGTCTTGAACTGAAACCCAGTGTGTGGCTCTAGGTGACATGTGGCCACCCAAGTGAGGTTTCGGATCCACCTGCAGTGTCAGATGCTTCAAGGCTGGGGTCCCCTGATGGAGAGGAGGTGGTTGGAGATCACCTGGGCCTCCTCAGCACTGCCTCCTGGCTGGGGCTGGGGCTGGGGATAAGAGAGTAACTGCAATTGTGCTTCCCCGGCACCTTCGCTTTAGGTCACTCCACCGAAGAGCCTGAAAGGGAAGTGGTTCTTGCGAAAGAATGAGCTGAAGCAGGTGGCAGATGCTACCAGGCACCGTGTAGTTTTCAAAGGGGATCTTTTTCTGCCTCAGAGAGAAATTCTGGGGTTTGCACAGCAAGAAACCGATGACTCAATTTCCTTTGTGTCCCTGCTTTAATGGGAAGGTTGTAGGCGTTCTTTAGAATGGCAGGGTAGGTTGATACCTTCTACCTTAAATTTGAATCCCACTTTTCACTCACTTAGCAGGTTGAATTTTTTTTAAGTGTACCCCCCACAGCTGCCCAACTGGGTTTGCGAGGCAAGCCCAACTTGCCAGAGTAAACCGGAAGGGGTGCTTTCTAAAGTTTGTGGTTCTGGAGTCTGGCCAGGCATGGATACAGTCATTGTGCGTTCCAGATTTTCTGGGAGAGTCAGGATCTCAAATATGCAAACACTCTACCAATTGATGTCTAGTGCATATTTTGACTAAATGTTTATATATTTTTCCACAAATAAATACATGACTTAATGTAATTGAAAGTCAAACACTTTTTAAAAATGCTTTTTGCATAAAGAAATTCACATCTTTACAACTCCTTAACTAGGATGGTGTCAATTAAATTAATGTTTGATTCAGGACATGTGTACTTTGGAGGTAAGTATTTCATATTCCTCCCCTCTCCATTGCTCAATTGCCCCACTGGGTGACGTACCAAGATAAGCCACATGTTTGATTCTTGTTTGCTGGATGTGGACATATGCACATTGCAGGTATGCCTATAAGTACATGCCTGAAGGATCTATGTGTGTGGTGGGAATTGGTGATGCCAAAGAATGCTAAAGACTTTCATGCCCCTTAAAGGGGAAAATAACCACAACAAAACAAATTCCAATGTATCTTCTCCTGTCTTCTGCAGCACTGGGGGAGTCCCCTGATAACAGGGATCATGTCACATTCATTTTTGTGGGCCCAGATCCCAGTAATATTGACCCATAACTGTTGAACTGCAATGAATGTCTAGAATATAAAAGTCATGATATCTATATATATGGAAGCATGCTGTCAGTATGGGCTAAGGTGCAAATACATTTATGTGTAAGTGAGAACCATGGTGATGGCTGTGTTGCTCAGGACAGGGCTGACTTGGCTGGCTGACTGCCCACCACAGGCCTCATGTTTGGTCTACCCCAAACAGTGAGCTCACCCATCTGTTTGTTTGCGGCTTTGGTGGCTGCCTGCTGTGACCGCTGGGGACATCTGGCTAAAGACAGGGTTACTAGATAGTTGGGCTGAGAAGGGAGTGGGAGCCAGTGAGATGAGGACACCAACCCCAAATTTAAGCCTCAAAACAAAAACACTCCCCAGCAGCAGCCACCTTGGGGTTCTAGTTATTTTGGAGATACTGATACGAGGTTGAGATCCTTGGGTGAGAGGCCCACACTCCTCCAACCCCCATGTCTGCTTCTGGAAGGTGGTGGCAGAGGAGAGAAGTAGAAGTACTATATGGGAGATGCGGGAGATTCTTGCCTTCTCTGTCGGTCTCTTTGGGCAATTATCAAGCTGTCATCTGACCAGATACTACCATAGCTTCTTCGGGGGCAAATCCGTAGGGAATCCTGACATCCGACGGGGAGCCACTTTGGCAATGGCAAACGGTGTCTCCTCTCCACAGAGCTTGTGATGTCAGAAATTACCCATAACTGGGGCAGGTTTTGTCTTCCCAAAGATTGTCTGCCCAGCTAGACCTGAGAGACAGGGAGACAAACACAGAATGAGGGGGTGGGTCTTGTGGGGGTGGGGAACGATGGAAACTCACAGAGCCAGATCTCCCCGAGTTTGAGTTGCACTGGCTGCCTGGGTGTGTCCTCCTGAGGTAAGTGTCCCTGCGAAGTGCAAGTGTGGGCAGACAGATCTCAGGTGGGTGGGGAGGGACTGAGTCACCAAGGAGGTGATTTGCAAAACTCAGGTCCCAGAAACTTTCAGGTCTTCAGCTTTTAAAAGTAAAGGTTAATTGCAAAACTCCGGGGTTGAGGGAAGAGATTATTCACATAGACCAGTCATTTTGAGCATCTGCTGTTGTGGCATTGCAAGTCTCCTTCGCAGTGCCTGAAAGTTCATTTGTTTTTGAGAGCTCTTACGCTTTTTCTGTTTGCATCTTTGCACAAGTTCTATGTTTCTGAGAACCCTCACCACTATTAGTAATAATAGCAAACACTTACAGAGTGTTGACCATGTACCAGCGCCATTCTAATTGTTTCCTATATACTGCCTTGTTTAATCCAAACACTGACTTCATGAAGGTGGTGCTGTTATTATCTGTCTTTTACATATGAGGAAACTGAGGCACAGAGAATTTAAGTAGCTTGCCCAAGGCCATGCAGCTGATAAGTGATGGCGCTGGGATTCAAACTCACATCTGGCTACAGAGTTCATGCTCTTTGTCACTATGTTAGAGTGCTTCTCTTGGTATATTAAGATATCGAGGCACCCTAGAAATCCAGACGATTGTACCTGGAAGTACTGTAGTTGTTTTCAAAAACTTCATTTGGGAATCTAGTTGTGGGTGAGGTCATAACATCCACTGAGCTTTTAAACATGATGTCAGAGGAAGGGGTTAGAATTGCAAAAATGAAGGAGGAGGAAGTTGTAATGGAAACTTCTGCCAATGCATATTCTGAGTTGACTCATTCATTCTGATCTCTGAATAGAAGCTCTACTCTCTTCCATGTGATGGAAAGTTGAGGATAGGGTAGGGCTGAGAGGGATGTGAATTGAGTTGTTTGTTCATTAGGATAGGATAGGGCTGAAAGGGATGTGAATTGAGTTGTTTGTTCATTATCACTTCATTATTTGTCACCTGGATGAAAGGTAAAGGTGGCTGATTAGTGTTTCTCCATCAGCTAGAACTTTGACTGGGAAATGAGCCAATCAAATAGCAGCAAAATATTTGCCCTCACCTTACAGGCCCTTGGTTCCAGGGTCTTCTCTCCACCGGCTAGAATGGATGAGGGAGGGAGAGAAACTCTGAGAAAAGAGGCTGTCAGGAGTAGGGCTGTACATATCCAGGGCACAAGGAATTTGGCAAAAGCTGGAAGTATACTATAGCCCTTCTCTCCAGCCCTAGCCTAAACCAGATGACCAGGCTTCTATTTGGCCCAGCATGTGACCATCCCATCAGGGAGCAAGAGAGTTTCCTCTGGGTACCCCTCACTGAGAAAAAAGCCACCCAGGAAGGGAGGAGGCAAGGCCCCCTGGGAACATCTGGCTCAGTCCACAGGAAGGGATGCAGGCCTTTTCCTGGGAATGAGGACTCATCCCATATTCCAGCCCCCTTCCCCCAACTTTTTTTTTTTTCAATTTTAGTGCATCTCTTTACACTTAACAGGTCTGCAGTGACTTCTAGGAGGATCCACACACCAATCGTGGAACTAGGCAGCATCTTTTTCCACTTCCTTTCCAAGATAGTAGCACGATAACAGTAAAGCCCCTTTGCAAGTGTTCACTATTATGCACATTAAGATGCCAGGGAGAGGGCTGGGAAAGGTGGCTCACACCTGTAATCCCAGCACTTTGGGAGGCCGAGGCAGGCGGATGACCTGAGGTCGGGAGTTCGAGACCAGCCTGACCAACATGGAGAAACCCCGTCTCTACTAAAAATACAAAAAAATTAGCCGGGCATGGTGGTGCATGCCTGTAATCTCAGCTACTTGGGAGGCTGAGGCAGGAGAATCACTTGAACCCGGGAGGCAGAGGTTGCAGTGAGCCAAGATCACGCCATTGCACTCCAGCCTGGGCAACAAGAGCGAAACTCGGTCTCAAAAAAAAAAAAGGTGCCAGGGAGAAATGAACAATTCCATGCAGCCAACACCTGGTCTCCTGCGTTTGGCTTAGAAGGGCATTTCTGCCCAAGCCCCCAGCTCTAGTCTTTGCACACTTTAAATGAGTAGCTACTACATGCCAATCACAGATGTTGCCTCTGCTGAGTATCCAGTCAAAAAACCAGAATCTAACAGAGCTAACTAAGCACCATCTTGCAGGAAACCAGCTGACGTCAGCTCCGCAGCCACCAGTGAGTTACTGGGCCCACATCTGCCTGCAAGAGGGGGAGGGGAATTCAGGTAACCCACAAGAGGGGATAAAAGTTCGGGGAAGAAATCTCCTGTCAAGGAGTTTGTTTTTGCAGTGGATCCTCTGCAGTGAGACTAGTTGTCTTTACAATATCATTAGAGGTCAGGTACATTCCTGTAGACTCCCTTAAGTGACTTGCTTTCTCCTATTGTTCCCCCTGAAAATTCATAAAAACCTCACAAACACATCTCCATTTAAAAAGAGAAAGTTTAAAGGATGCCATGTAATGGTTATCTCTTTTCTTTTGCCAGTGAGCATAAAAGCTCCTTAGGGAAAAGCCCAAACCCTCTATACATTTTCATATTCATGATAGCCCTGAGCGGTCAGCACAGTTCCCCAATTATAGTGGGTGCTCAATAAACACTTGGATGGCTTACTGAATTAATAATGTTTCTAGACTTGGCTAGCAAAGCCATCTCCGTTACTTATCTTTTGTGATTTTTATAGGTTCTGTCTAATTCTTTTTCTTCATTTTTTTTCTTTCTGGTCTATACAAATCTTCTTTCATTTTTCTCTATTGCTACTTGTAGCGATCCTCAACCCGCCTCCTCCCTTGAAATTTCTGTTCTCTGCACTCTCTTCAGTCTAAAGAGATCTTTCTTGAGGTTTGAAATGTTACACAAGGCAGGGGAAGTTTAGAGCTAATTGTATTTTGTCCAGTAGAACGGGGATCTGGATTTCC
Source organism: Homo sapiens (assembly GCF_000001405.40). NCBI lineage: Eukaryota > Metazoa > Chordata > Mammalia > Primates > Hominidae > Homo > Homo sapiens. The sequence goes on from NC_000011.10 coordinate 35,149,085, forward strand.
TATAGGTCTGGCTGCCTCTTTGTCTACACCTTTACTTCCAAATCTGGCCTCATGTATAAAAAGACCCCAAACCTTAAAATCATGTTCTCAACAATACTCAGAGAAAAATTGTTGGCTTTTTGGTCACCATGCTAGAGGAATAAAAGGGCAGTTGTTTCTTTCGGTCAATGGTTTGAAAACCTCCCAGACTAAAAATCACCTCCATATAATCAGATGCTTGGTGTGGTGTAATGAAGATGAGGAGGTCTGGCTTTGATAAGAGTCATTTAGAAGGTATAAAGGCAGTGGAACAAGACGGGAGGACCCATACACCAGTTGATTCCCCTCTTGCCACTTAACAGCAGCGTGAGCTTGGGCAGTTGCACTTGTTAAATGTCTGGAACAATACTTAGCACGTAATTTCTAAAGCTTAATGTTTAGTTCACAGAAGGTATCCCAAGAATAGAAATGATTATTATATTTTAGCTTCTCTCTATTACTGATTCACTATGTGCTGCTAGGCAAAGTATTTCACCCCCATTTACTTCTATTTTTCCATGTGTAAAATGCGAGGGTTGGATTCTAGTTGATCTGTCAAGTCCTTTCCAGGCCTCATGTTCTATAAATTCACCACTCTGTGGGCTTACTAACACCTGAGCCTCATAAAACCTAATGGAAAGAATAACACAAAACCACCATAAGGCAGTGTCAAAAAAAATTGATGCCTGATTTGTATTAAATGTCAAAAGTGAATTATTAATCCATGCCAGAAATAAACATATGGACCCAATTACACTCTAACTCCAATGGGCAAGAGTGTTGTAGGGACAAAGTGCTTTGCCCGTAGTACTTCATAGAATCCTCTAGACCATGTGGAAGGTGAGCAGATGAAGCAGCTCTGGCCAGAGAAGTTAGGAACATGTCCCAGTCACACAACTGAAACTGCAGGAAGTCAGTCCTGGGATTAACTGCAGGATCTGAACACTGTACTCTTTATATTGTACTTTAAAAACATTGCTTCACATGGCCAGAAAAGCCAACCTCTGAAGAAGAGAAAAATTGTTCCCTTCACTCTCAGAGCTTCATGAGCACCTTGGACTTGCCAGCTTTCCTCAAGCAACCCCTGTAACTTGTTGGCACAAAATTAACCACAATATTCAGACAAAGCAGTACTTACAGGGTGAGTGCTAGTATCCTATGCAACTAGGGTAGCCTGAGAATCTAGGGGAAAAAAAGCTAGACCAAACAAAAGATTATATATAATCTTTCCCCAAATCAAGGCACTGAGCAAGGCAGGCCTGAGAGATGGTGAATTTCTGCTTCTACTGAGAGTCCTCCAGACCCCCAGTAAAAATTTCTTTTCATCATAAAACCAGAGAAACTCTTGCTCAGGAAAAAGAAAGAAAAATGGAAATCATAAAGATTGCACGACTTAGGATTTTGTCAAAATGTGTCAGAGGCTATAATATAAGGCTAGTTTTTGGCATTCTGTCAGTCACTGAATGTCCTTCGTCAGATCACAGCTCCTTTTGGTTGTGCTGACTTTATACCCATCTGGAATCCACTGACCATTAGCTGAAATAAAATCCCAGATGTGCTCAGATCTCACATCCTGTGCAATGCCCTCAGTTATTGCTGATACGGTTCAGTCATCTGTCTCTCCAGCTAATCATACAGACACAGTATTCTAGGAGAAGTGAGAACCCACTCATAGCCAGGAGAGCTTCTCCCTCTCAGTCACAGGGTGACTGTGGGCAAGGTCCTTCCCCTGTTGGTTGCCTCTGTCTCCCCAGTTATAAGATGGTGACAAACTGACCAACTTAAAATTTCCTTAAAATGTATTGGCACTGTGGACAGAAATGAGGAAAGTGGAAGACCTAGTTTCTGTCCTCAGGGAGCTTACCATTTGGTGGAAATAAAGTTAAACAGGTGAAAGAATTATGCAAGAGAGCATAACCAAGTGTCAGAAGACAGGAAAAACAGACATCTCGATTGCATGTGAAGGCTTCAAGGAATTTGAGGATGAGTTGAATGTGGAAAAGAAGATAGACAGAGAGAGGGGAGAGGAGAGAAACCCAGGGAAAGGCAAAACATGAGCCAGGTGTTTAAAGTGGGGGAATAAGAATGGCTTGATTGGGGCCAGGGGAGGGGTCTGTCTGCTTGGATAAGAGAATTCATGAAAAGAACAGTGAGAGATGAGGTCGGACAGATTCCAGGCAATCAAGTAACAGTGGCACTGTCCACTGGCAGAAGATCCAATTTTTCTGCCCCAGAAACTCAGAAGTTCTCATGAATCACCCTCTCAGACAGTGCTAGACAGAGTTCAGAAGCAGGCCAGCTCCAACAGTGAGAAAGAACTTTGGCAACTTTGCCTGGGTTAGAGAGTGGCAATTTAAGTGAATCCCAAACAAGACCTACTGTGGCAATAGCAAATAGATTTTAGCTCAAGGAACATTTCCCATTGACTCCTAGAGGCTTCCCAAAATGCTGTACTAAGAAGTCAAACCTTGGCTCAGGTATGGAGAGTGCTGTGATCCATTAGTGATGTCTGCTATGGGCACAATATGAAGGATTTGACCCCCATGCATCACATGGACATCACCGTAGTGGAGCAGCAGGCTTTCTTTGTTAATGTTTCTGAGAGTTGTGTGTATAGTCCTCTGGGAGTTTAGCCATTCTAGAATCTGTCCAGCTAGCCATACTATAGACTCTATCTCCTTCTAGAACAGTAAAAAAGCAGTCTCTTGCCCAGAGGGCAGAGGTTAGTCACTTGAGCCTTTTGTTAGGATTCACTCCCATTCTGTCTTCCCATTTACCCACATGAAGTTAGATGCTGGGAGCCAGATATTTCCTGTGTTTGAACAAGGGCCAGACTTCCTGGCAAAGGGTCCCTTCTTCCCATCAGTTTCTTCAACTGCAAACTGAGAAGACAAAAGTGATGCCTCACCCGTGGTGGCGACAGGAGGAATAACTAGCTAATGCGAGGAAAGCTTTTGAAGATGAAAGGGTGGTATGTGCATGTTAATTACAACTTTTATCAGCCCTGGAGCCTCTGCATTCTCAGCTGCCACTGGAAGCTCTTCTGTGCCTCCCAAATGCAAACAGCAGCCACATTCCATGAGCTGGCCTCACTAAGTCCTGCTTAGAGCATCCAAGTCAAGAAGGTTGGATTTTGAGCTCAGGCTGGCCAGCTGGCTCACTCTGGGCCACTCAAGTTTCCCACTACTCATCCCCAAGGGAAAAAGTAGGCTAGCTACCTGGGCAGGTAAGATAAGATAGAACCAAGGTATAAACAAAAGGCTCCATCAAAAGTCTACCAGAAATAGCCCCTGGGTAAGATTAGGACACTCTGCTCTAATTCCCACCCTGTGAAAGCCTAATTGTTTGACCTTGGGCTATTGGCTTTATCTGTCTAATGGTTCAATATACTGTGTGAACCATTTGGGGATAATAATCCCTCTGCCTCCCCTAGACCTCTCCACCTTTGCCTGCTGGTGTGAAAGTGTTTTGTGCTAGTAGGCAGAAACACGTGATATAAAACTACAAGGTCCTATTATTACCTAGGATAACTTTCGCCTCTATCTATGTCTCCTGTTGCTGGTTGACCCCAATCATTGAAACTGTATTCTTTGGAATGCTCAGCAGTCTCCTCCAAGCTGCCATTCCCTCCTTATCTAGGTGGGCCCAGTATTGGCTCAGGCTTCTTGGTTGTGCCACTTCCTAAGGCTTGCAAATGCATTCAGCCTGCCCTTGCTCTCAGTGCCAGCTCTCAGTGCCCTTGCTGGGATAACTCAATAAAGGGCTAGAGGTGGGAATGGGATAATCATCAGATGCTTTGCTAGTGCTGACGGGACAGCTTAGAAGGTATAAACTGAGCTGGGCCCATGCAGCAACACCAAAATATGTGTTCAAAGAGGGAGAAGAGGAGAAAAAGAGAAAGGAAGTTATCGTGGTCTGATAACAGGGCATGTCAGAATGGGAAAGGGTGTTAGGAATTATGTAGCCAACTTGTTTGATTGGAAAGATAAGGAAGCCTCAAGGGCTGCAAGTGACTTTCCCAAGGTCACAAAACTAATTGGTGGCAAAACCGTGGTCTTCTGACTTGTCCGGTTTCCTTTCATTTTATCCTTTGAGACGATAAAGGAGAGGACACTAACTAAACAAGAAGACAATGATCTGATCAGGACAAGAAGACTTGGAGTACAAAATGAGAAGAAGATAATAGGGTAATGGATTTTTTAGTGGCACAGTGGGAAATGGCGTAGGTGTTTACACTGCACTGGAGCCCTCACTGTGCTTGGAACTGGTTCCCTGTGCACAGTCTTGCACACCCATATTTGGTATTTTTTTATCCTTTTTGACTTAATGAGCATTTGGAAACCATAAGGCCCACAGCAACCTGACCTTTGACTTGCCCAGACTCTCTGAGCAATTTTGTGAGTTGAGTCAACAATCAATGGTTTTCAAATTATTCAATTGTTCACTCAACGCATACTAGTTGAACACCAATATCTGTGCTCTGCTAGGCACTGGGGATACCACTGTAGACAAGAGAGGCATAGTCTCCTCTCTCCTGGAACTTACAGTCTATCTGGAAGACAGACAGTAAACAACTAATGATGCCTTTGTTTAATTACACTTGTGGTAAGTGCTATGAAGGAGAAGCACTGGATCTTGTGAGAGCATAATAGGGAGATCTCATCTGATTTAAAGCACCAGGGAAAGCCTCCCAGGACCTGTTGGATGAATAGCAGTAACCATGTCTCCAGGATCCCCACAATTCCTTGAGGACCCTTGTTGTCAGACTTCTCAGAGCTGTACCAGCCCTCTCACTGTCTCACCATTGGGTCTTCTGAGTAAGAAAGCAAGAAAAAAAATTTTACTCCTCAAAATTCTGAAAGCAAGTGGTTTATCATGTCTGCCCTGTAATAGTGGTGGGAAGAAAATCATGAGAACCTCTAAGCTGACTCAGGATTTTAGAAGCACACATTTGGGGAGAAGGGAAACAAAAATTCTGGAGAAGCAAAAAGTGTCATATGGTATAGAAGTTATTTTAAGCTACTGGGGAAAATTCATAATTTACTTAGGGATCTTGAGTGTCAAGCATTGGTTTAGAGACAAATCTTATCCATTTCGTTGAAAGTTCCTTGATCTTGTGGCTGAAGCTTGGGCCTAGGGTTTTATTAGTGTACATTTAGGGGATGGTTTACAGGGTGTCTTTCAAGGTCATACAGGTGCCTCTTTTGGGGTCAGGCAGGAGGAATAGGACAAACTCTGGGATACGAATGTACAACCATTTGGCTCCTAGGGCCTCAGTCCTTTAGCTCCTTGCTTCTGGTGACTTCTTGGAGACAAGAGTAGACTTTTTCAGAACAGCGAGATAGTTGTGCTGACAAAACAAAAACAAAAACATCATTTAAGATGCCTTCAGATGCAAGTACATGTCATAATAGAAATATTTAAAAATTAGTAGAGTATAGGCACTAGCTAATTCAAATGCTTGGTTGTAAACAACTATGTCTTGTAAATGAGAATAAAGTTTATTCTCTCAATGACGATGATAACATCTTTCTCACTCACTTTTACTCAAATTGGCTTTATTGGGCAGGAGAGACAGAGATGGAGTTATAGGTATCATGATTGAACTTAAGCTACAACCCATCTATGCATCAAACCATCATGTGTCTCGTGTGATTGTTATCTGTTGTGTATATTTTGGTATATCCCTATCTGTACATACCAGCTGAATATTTCTGTAAGTAACAGAACAATCAGCTCTCATAAAATATTACCTCCCAGGGCAAGAAGTCTGGGATGATTCCAGGAAGTCAATGATATTATCAAGACTCAGGTTTATTTTTCCAACTTTCAATTCTGCCACTCCCAGTGTCTTCCTGCAATTTAGCACCCCTCATGTTCCTAAACTAAATCCCACAGTTCCAGGCATCCTAGGAAAAAAAAAATCAATATTTAGCAGCAGAAGAAAGAGTGTATATTCACAAACATCTCTTCTAAAATTGGAGGAGCGGCTTTTTGGGAAGTCCTTAATTGACCTCTCCTTATTTCTCATTGGATGAATGGGGTCACATGCCCACACCTAACCAATCACTGGCAAGAAGAGCTTGGACCACAGTGCTTGACTTAGACCAATCATGATCCACCCACTGGAGCTGGGATTTGAGGTCTCACCTGTCCTGAAGCACAAATTCAGGGTTTCTGAATAAAATTGCACTTCAGGTAGAATAGAATAACTTTTTTTGCATTGGTAACAATGTGGGCTACAATGAGTAAGGGAGTCCATTTACCTGCTAGAGTTGTGGTTTGAGACTATTTGGGCTAAGGAAAGAAGGCAAAGCTAAGTTTTTGTGCCTCTGTGCCACACCCTCAACCTTTTTCTGAAAAGACATGCCTCATGGGTAGAGCTCACATGGGGGACACACTGCAGTTTGAGGTTTAGATGGTCTGTGGCTTATACTCAATGATAATACCTAAAACTTTATCCTTTCCTGTCTTCTACAAAAGAGAATTATATCAGGGAATAATCTTAAATCTGTTATAATTTACAAGAAATAGCCAGTCTTCTGCACACTTGAGTACTTTATTATTAGAAACTCATTACTTGCAACCCATCTCAGCACTGTTGGAGCTACACCATGCATGAGGACCGCTGCTCTAGAGTCATCCATTAAAAAAGAATTCCTACGAACCTGAATGAGCATTTCTTTCTCTAAATTATGAGATGATGACCCTCAAGGGAAATGGCCGTCTTCCCTTTTCTACTGCACTCTTAGAGTGCATTAATGTGTGTGAAGTGTTTTCGGTTCCATTATCTAAAGCAGCCCTCATATTAACATCGTGGTTGGCATTACTGGCCTCCTGTATGGGATGAAAGTTTAATGACTTCTGCAAGGTTATGAAAGGTCAAGATCACAGCTAATTAGTGCAAATTCAGGATTTGAATTCTAGTTTCTACCCCAGAGCTGATGTCCATGTCACCATGGACATCATTTGCTCCCAATATACCTGATTTACTTTCAAGGGGTCTGGAATTGACTATTGGATTTTATATTAAAAATTGCTCTTTCATAGGCAGGAAAAAGTCCTTCCTAATAGTTTGAGTCCAAAGCTTAAGGGTCTAGCATCTCAACTTTTTAATGAACCCAAAAATGAACAGGAGGGTTTTCTGAGCCAGTCCCCTGCCTCCACACAGTTAGCTCATGAATCCAACATCATGGGAGGAAGTCTTCAGGATTTTGTTTCCCATTCCTTTTTTATCACCTAAATATAGTTAAAGGATTTGTGATGACTGCATCCAGAGATGTTTAAAAATGGACCTGAAGGATGTGATTGTGTCTTAGGCAGGAAGGGTGCCGGTTCTTTTCAGTATCTAATGATGAACGATCTAAAGGAAATGGATTCTAAACCATTTGATTCTAAACCAAAATGGTGTATGTTTCTTTTGAGGGTGAATTTCCTGATCATGAGCCTTGTTGAGCATTAGACTGGCCGGCTGGTTCCTAATCCATCCTTCAGTTCTCAGCTGCAGTGACATTTCCTTAGAGAGACAGATCTCCTTTGGGGACAGCACAGGACTTGAGAAAAAAGGCTTCCCTTTCCACTGAGCTTGGCTCCAACTACACCTCATGTGTCTGTTACATTTATCATGCTGTGTTGTCAACTTGTTTAATGTCTGTCAGTGGCTCATGCCTGTAATTCAGCACTTTGGGAGCCTGAGGCAAAAGACTTACTTTGACAGCAGAGGTTTGCAGAGGTTGCTGGGCAACATAGTGAGACCCTGTCTCTACAAAAATATATTTTTAATTGGCTGTGCATGGTGGCATGCACCTGTAGTCCCAGCTGCTCAGGAGGCTGAGGTGGGAGGAGTGCTTGGGCCCAGGAGTTTGAGGTTACACTGAGCTAAGATTGTGCTACTGCACTCCAGCCTGGGTGATGGAGCCAGACCCTGTCTCTATTAAAAATTAGGAAAAGAAATAGCCTGTCTACTCTATTGGTCCATAACCTCTATCGAGACAGTGACCTTGTCTGCTTTATTCAATGCCTGGATCTTTTCCTAGCACAGTGCCCAGCACATGGAGACACTGAATTTGGATTCTCCTTTTTGAAGTCCCCATATCCACTTCAGTATTGGGGTGATTTTGATGGGATTGTGACTTACCATGGTGGATGCATCCTGTGAGTTCCAAACTCAACTTCTTAAAAAACCTTGTCTATCATCTATCCATCTATCTGTCTGTCTGTCTATCTATCTATCTATCTATCTATCTATCTATCTATCTATCTATCATCTGTCTGTATTCTATGTTCCATCTATCATCTATCTGTCATATATCTATCTCTATCTATTAATTATCTCTATCTTTATCTATTTATATCTATCATCTATCTGCCATATATCTATCTCTATCTCTTAATTGTCTCTATCTTTATCTATTTATATCTATCATCTATCTATATCTATCATCTTTTAACCTATCTGTTTCTATTGGAATAAGAGACAAGTGCTTGAAAAGCAGAGGAGAGTCAATACACAGGCCACATCTTCTCTCACTCCCTCCTTCCTCCTCATAGCTGTGAGCCACCCCAGTCCCTGTACCTGCTTCCTTGGCTGGCATCATCTAAGAAATCATCTCTTCCACAGTTTCCTGCAAGGGCATCACCCCAAGGGAAGCTGAACACATGCAACATCTGCCCACTCAGGATAAGTGTGAGGGATAAGGAGGAAACATTTTTCCTCTAGAGACAGGACTGTTGGGGCAAGGGCTGGGGAAGCAAGACATGGATACTCCAGGCTACTTCTTGCTGGGGCTGAGGGGAGTGCTCGGTGTGGCTCCCCTCTGGGACGTGTTTAGGGCAGCTCTCTCGCCTCTGAAACAAGCCTCATCAGATCATCCCCAGGCTTCCTTCCGCATAGTTTCTGATGATATAGGAAAGGAGCCCGATTATCTGTTTGAGCTTCCTGTTCTTTGTATTGTTTGGAAGGCTAAAGTCAACAGCCACTTTTGTATTCTGCATTGTTTGCGTTGTTAAAAACTCTGGAAAACTCATCTGGTTTCTTCTCCAAAAGTAGCTTCCCAGAGCCCTGGGAGACACTCAGAAATAAGATCCTTTTCAAATAGGCCAGCAGGGACCAGGGTCTCTCAGAACCAGCTTTCCTATCTTCTTCCAAAGGCCGGAATTGAGAAGGTTTACTCCAGCCCACATAATTGAGTCTCTGGGCTGTCAAGGACGCATTGGGGAGTTTGCTTCTGGTGTGCTGGGTGCTTAGAAAGCCGTATGAATTGCAGAGATAGAGTTGGGTTCCAGTTCTGCCAGTCACCAATTATGTGGCCTTAAGCAGTTTACTTAACTTTTCTGAGCCTCAATTTTCTCTTCTCTAAAATAGAGTTGTAATATACCTATGGCTTAGAGTTGTGTAAGGACTGACGCGATCACAGACTTGAAACCCTTGATAGAACGACTGGCATGGAGTAAGCATTCAACAGTCATAATTAAGGTCATTGTGATGATTACACTTGGGGCCTCTCCATTCACCATTTGCCCCAACTGTGTTCCTGCTGCACTTGAAAATGATTCCAGCTGCCTCTGGAAGATTTTCATCCCATTTCTGGGAAAAACATTAGCCAATAAACTCTCATTGAATTTGGCAGGGCGGGCACACCAGCAAGCTGACACTATGTGCATACAGGCTTCCTGGAACAACTGTTGCTGAGCAAATGAAGCAGCATGGAATGTTCCGGGAAGCAGGATTATTGCTGTAGCTGGTGAAAGTGAACTGGGAAACGCACTCCAGGTCCTGTCTTTACTTGCACAATTACAGTCAATCCCCAAGGCTGCTTGTCTCAGCAGGATCAGCCTCTTCCTGCCTTCTGTCCTGGCAGTGGGTGGTGGGGCTGGAGGAAGAAATGGTGTTTTCCTCCCTCTCCCATTGCAATTGTTTCCTTACAGTGCTGTTCTCTGAGGCCAGAGAACAGAAGGGCTCTTTCCAGAGGCAGTTTAACAGAGTAGCTTCCTTTTCATTCTGAGAAGTTTGGAGTTTCCCAGAGTCCACTTCCTCCCTAGAAGCGCAAGCTTGGAATTTCTTGGTTGCCAATGAGGTGCCAGCTTCTGAGTGCATAAAGTGTGTCCATCGTTTTTAATCAATTCTCTCATCTCCAAAAATACCTTTAATTGCCTTTAGCTGCTTAGTTCTGCTGTCCTCTAAAGAAAACAAGATCTGGCCACTCCCAGCCACACCTCAGAAGTGAGTAAGGCTTTTGCACCTTTTAATAGGAGTATTTACATGTGTGTCGGTTTCTCATCTGCTTTTAATTTCATTAGAGTGTGATTTTGGACTGTTGTTTGAGATGAAAGAGCAGATTATCAAAGTGCAGATGATTTTTTCATGGTGCAAACACATCATAAATTAGAAACTATGAGACCCCTTTGCAGCGGGGAAGACTGGGGCCAGTCATCCAAGGTTTCATCTTCCTGTAGGAGAAGGGAAAAAAAACGGACATTTATTAACTATCTGTTATGATCCAGACTCTCTACTGGTGCTTTTTGTATATTTATTCTCTAACTCCCATCAACTTCTCTTTGAGAGAGGCAGCAAATGACAACTGAATAAATGAATGGCTGAATTTCATCAGAGCCAGTTTACAGGCAGAGAAACTGAGGCTCATAAAGCGGACGTAACCTGCCTGAGATGTCTCAGCTTTTATATGGTGGGGCTGGAATTCAATTCAGAGCTCCTTCTCCCTTTTAACACTACACTGCAAGTTCCCATTCAGCTTCATGGGATTAATCCTGTTCTTCTGTCCCTAGAATGGAGCCTTGAAAGTTCAAGGTGTCTCCTTTTCCTAAGAAACTGGATTTTTCTGGCTCCTTGAGAATTGAGGAGCTCAAAACAATTGAGAACTCTTGGGAGGCATCTTCAGGAAAGGAGGTGGTGGAAACTTTCCTCTCCTCACTCTCCCCAGGGGCAATGGGGCCTCCAAGGCCATCAAAGATCAAGGTGCCAGGTGGGGGATGCCTCCCAGCTTCCCATTCATTTTTCAGTTGGGGGCCACTCAGCAGCTCCTCAGGTGAGGATTGTCTCAGAACTGAAGAATGGTTCAAATTGGCCCAAGATGCTGAAATTTATTGCAGGGATCACTGGGACAGTGTGTAGCAATTTAGGAGGCTTCTCTCTAAGGGAATCAGTAGCTGCTGCATTTCTCTTAATTGAAACCACTCTTTCCCTCCAGCTTCGATGGGGCAGGTTCTCATATCTGCGTGCTGAAAGGCGTTTATTTGGTGTATTCTGAGAGCAGGATGCTGGTAACACTTTCTTTTGTGTTTTGCCAATTGTTTCTTTTTACTGGCTAGTCCACCCTGTCTGACGCATTCATTATACCATAACCACCTTGACACCAGAGTGAAATGCCATTTCTCTGCAGGTAGGAGAGAGTCACACGGATTCCTTGAGTGTTTGTAGCGTAAGTGAGAAAGATATGTAGCCTTCTTCTAGAGGCAGAGGGATGGGTTGGCTGGGACTTAGAGATATTCAAATCCAACTCTGTTCTTGTCTGATAAAGTAAACGAGGCCTCTGAAGGTAAAGTGACTTCTGTAAGTACTCACAGCTTATCAGTAAGAAGCCTGATATTAAAACTCCAGGTCACTAGACCTTCAACCTAATGTTCTTCCCACTAAACCAAGTTAACATTTATTGTACACCATACTAAATGGCAGACACTGGGGACACAAAGATGAATAAGGCATGGTCCCAGTGGAACCCACTTTGGTTATATGGGTTAGGACACTTGAGGCAGGATCCTCCTTAGAATGGTGTTTTATAAAGTCTCTCTTTCTCTTTCTCTCTCTCTCATCTCTCTCCAATCTATCCTCTCTATCAAGAGAGAACACATGTAATGTAGAGTGAGAGCCCATGTATTGGATAATTAGGCTTCTGGCTCCTAATTATCAGGAAGCCTGGAGGTCTTGAGTGGTTGTAACCAAGGATACTGAAAGTGGTTGACCAGTTAATAAAGAATTAAGTTAGAGTAAGAGGCACTTTACTTTTAAGCTGCCTTTAATACACTTTAATCTTTGAGATGATTGGCTAATATCTGTTAAGTACCAGGCTCTTTGCAGAGAGTCAGGTCCTTTGCTAAATGATTTAGGTATATTTCTTCATCTAATACTCAAAAAGCACCCCATAAGGAAGGCATTACTTTTATTTTACTGATGAAGAGACTGAGGCTTAAAGGTTAAGAAAACATAGCATGCATAACATCCCACAAGAGCTCAAGCCAGGACTTGGACCCAAGTCTTTCTTGGATCTTTCCGATCCAAGCCATATGGTTACTGCAATCTCACAATACAATGAGGGTAAATCCTTGCAATCACCAGTTACCAGCAATTGTGAAGCAATGGATGGCATAGATGTCAGGGGGTCAGGAGAGCCTTGCAAGCGTTCAGAGGGCTTGGGAGTGGACACATCACAGTTGCACTCTGCTGGGCAGCGCTGTAAGTCTCTGATTGGATTTTGCCTTGAATTTTTTCTGGTCAAGACTCAGAAAGGATGGATGTAGCTTCACTTACACCAATTCTACCCAGCTTGTGACCCAAATGGAACTCTTATCCCTTAAGCCAGGTCATTCAGTTGTTGTAGCCTTTGCCTTCCAAGTTTCCCTTGTCTACCCTACTGAGTCTGAATTCTAAGGACATCTTCTTATGGACTGTGGGAGGCAAAGATGAATTCCAAATCTTATTTAATCTGTGTGCTGGGGGGGAAGAGGAGTGTATTTCCTTTTGCCAGGTATCTGAGCCTACAAAAAGCCCCATAAATAAGTAAAATGTGTCCATGAGTTCATAAAAGAGTGAGCCTTAGACATACAGACCACCTGTCAAAAGAGCCCTGTCATTCTCTATTATATTATCCTCTTTTATTTTCTGTGTAACACTATGAGTATCTGAAATTACCGTATTCATGTATTAATCATTTACCTGTATACTATATCCTCACTCTAGAGGTAAGCTCTTTGAGGGCACAGATCGTGTCTGACTCCCCAGCCCCCAAGATTGTATCTGGCTTGTATCAACCATATCATAGGGAAGGTGCTGTGAATTGACACCTTGCACCATGCTTTATGGAAACTAATGGTGCTTTAAGAGGCACAGATTTCATAGAAAGAGACCCAGTTGTTCCCACCCTGATGGTTCTAGGTCTAGGTCTAGGTCACCAATGTCTATGGTGAAAGAATGGGCTTTTGCGAGGTATGGTCTCCTGTCATGTATGAGGGTCATTTATTTAAGGGAAAACCAAGACCTTATTTTCTTTGACAACTGCACACAAGGGTCATTTGTAATGTCCTTCATTTCCAAGCCTCTGGATCTTTGCATGGATCATGCTCCTTAAAAGAAGGAAGTTATGTTTGGCCTGCTTCAGCTAAGCATGGAATGGTAAAGATTTTGGTCCAAACCCTGTGACTTGAGTTGGATTTAAAAGCTTGTCAGAAATGAGTTCTCTGGAGCTTGGCATTTGAGACTGGCATCCGTTGTTCCAGATGAGATTTCACGGATTGAAAGCTCAGGAAGAGGTGTGAATTACAAGCAATTAGTTCACAGGGCAGTTGGAACTGTAGTAATCCTGGAAACCTTTTGGCCCACATTTTAAAAATATCCCCACAATCCAGCTTCTCCCTCTGTAGGGCTTCTGCTTGGGAAAGTTTGTGTAACTCCCCAAAACATCTGAAGAGTGAATAGCAGTAGTGTTCTTGGACTGCGAAGGAGACCCTGCTTCTTATGTGCATGCTCTTGTGCACACAGACAGAAACACACACATACATGCACACACACACAGACATGTACACCCATGTTCGCTTTAGCATCTGATAGAAAAAGAGGAACATGAGGAAAGACAGAGATTGAGTCACCAACATGTGACCTGGTGATTTCTGAGTCCTCTGACTTTGAAATCAGTGGAAATTTAGAGCTCTACTTTGTCACTTGTAATGCTTTGTTGTTGCAAATAAATATTTTTGCAGCTGCATCACTTCATTGCTAATATATTTGAAGAAGGCAAGATAACCTAAAGGCATGAATCTTGTTCTGTTTTAATCCACCTGTAAGTCAGTGGTGGTTGTAAGGTAAATTGTAAGTAAGAGCTATTGGCCACCAAGTGCCAAGGGTTATGAATGATTTACCTTTTTTTTTTTTTCTAAACTGAAGGAAACTCATGGTTGTTCCTAGAAAAACATGCACACTCACTTGCTTGCATTCGGATAAGCTTCTTTGAGTAACAGGGAAGAGGCCACTAGGATTACAAGGCAGTTAGTGCCCATTGGAGTGTGACTGGCATTGTGCACCCTGTGAATCATAGTGGTGGTATGGGGAAAGGGGTAAAAAAGCATCAATCTATGGAGTATGCGAACCAGATGGCATCTGTCCTGGGAAGAACAAATATCCTTCATAGGAGAATTAGAGGACTATACTAGTCAGGCAGAAATCCAGTCCATTCATCAAGCTTTTCCTCTTGCTGTGGTCCCTACAGGGTCAGCCCTGTTTAGGCTCAAGCCTCTTAAATCCCAGTGCAAGACCAATTTCTCTATGAAATTCTCCCTGTCTTCTTTGGTCTCATGGCTACTTCCTGGGAGGAAAAAGTAGTAATCAGCTCCCTCCCCCCAGCTAAATGTGCATGGTATTAGCAAATTCTAACCCAAGATGTTAAAACTATCTGAGAAGAGGCATGATTCTGCTTCTTGTCTGTACCCTCCTAAAGTCAAGGTGCAGCAAGGAGAGAGACATTTGCATGTGGCCCCTGAGAAAGAAGAGATTTGTCTGCCTCACCCCCTGCTGGTGCAAACTTGCACCTCTCTCAGCCTCAGTTTTCTTATATGTATCAAGTTTCAATGATCGCAATAGTACTTATCTCATGTGACTACTGTGGGATTGAAACGAGATAGTTCATGTGAAGTACCGAGCACAGAGCCTGGCACACAGTAGGTACTCTATTAGTGTTAATATCACTGGAAAACCCAGCTGGGGGCTCAGCAGTAGAAGCTGCCAGAGCCTTAGTGTTACAGCCACATCCATTACCCCACCATTCACATACATTTCATGCCCCAGGGTGAGAATCCACATATCCCAAGCAGAGAGGCACAGCTTTGGTAAACTGAGTCTTAGCTAACTCATGTCAGAAACCAAGTGTTATCCTGGGGTTTGACTCCTGGCTCTTGCCACATTCATAGCAGGATGCTGAGTGGATTGTACTCAGCCTCACTTGTTGCATCTGTGAAATGGGGGTGATTTTTTGACTTCTCAAGGTATAGCATCTATTAAGGCACATAGACTACAATCTGACACAAATTAGCAGCTCCATACATTGCAGAATCTTTTCTTTTTCACTTAAGGAGATGCTAAAAGAGGCAAGAGGAAAGAAAATCAAATTTGGAGATGCCGTGGGCTGTGTGTTGAAGTTGGGCTCTGGTGGAATTGGTGGTGACCTTTTGCTTCTCTCCATCTGGATGGCTGTATCTTCAAAGACAACAAGTCTTAACTGCAGTTTTTGATTGTATAAATCTGGCCAAGTCCACTATTTACCCAGCCCAGTCTCCTTAGAGTAGGATTGGAAACTCAAACTTTGCTATCTCCTCTGCAGAGTGAGCAAGGGACAATCTTTATGAAAAACTTTAAGTTGCAAGATATTTGTGTTCTTAATAATGAAGGGAAGAATACAAAAATGATAATACTAAGCCTGGCTCATGGATAGCATTTTTGCACAATATATTTCATTTGGGCTGCAGCCTTTGAGCTGTACTAATTGCTCTGAGCATCTGTTTGTATGTCCGTTGCATGGGATGATTTACCCTCCTAGGTTTCCAAATGCTTTGGAGCCCCTGGTTTATTGCAGGACTTACTAAGTGGTGGCCATCGTCACTTTGATTGGCCCCTACCACAGTATTTTCCAGACTTTTCCACCAAGGCTCTTAGGGCTTTGTGGTGGGTGCCAGAACAATTGATGGGGTAGGGTGGGTGCTGGAAGAGAATGAGCATCTGGTAGATTGAGTCTCTGGGTCTGCCCTTCCACCCTCACTCCAGCCCCCATTAGCTCAGCTTGATTTTCAACCACTTGAAATACTGTGGTTGTGCCTAAGACATCATGTCAGGGAGAGAAAGAAACATCTGAAAACCATCAATCTTCTCTCTGAATGCTTCCACTGGTCCCATTTGCCTGTTGACAACCCAAGTTGAAAAGGCAGCACCAGAGGGGAATGGGGAAAATTAGCAGAACTGGAAAATCTGAGTTGAGATCTGGGTTTACCAAACTCTCCGTAAGACTTTGAGTCTGTGAAACTTATGTCCATTAGTTTCTTCACCTTTTAAATGGGTCTGTAGTACCTACCCTCTGGGCCTCACAGGCTGCTTTTGGGTGTGAAAGTGCTTTATAATTGGTGAAGGAAACTGCTACGTGGCAAGAATAGCAAAGCCTGATGTACTTTAATCCATTCGGTTCTGCTGAGGGTGGAGCCCCAATGTGTCTTAATTCATATGAGGTTTCTGAGAAGCTTTTTGAGATTTTAATACTGTCCCAGGTATGCACATCAACCTTCTCACTTTTATCCCCCAAGCTCCAAAATTTCATAACTTTTTATTTCATCTTGGGTGGCAGGAAGGCAAGGTGTGCCTGGGGGAGCTACAGGGAGTTATTCAAGGTCACATAATTAGCTTATAATTAACAGAGTTTAGGCTAGAACCAGTGCATCCCACTCCCAGATGGGGGCCCCCGGCTTATCTCAGCATGTCAGCAACCCATGAATCAGCCCTGAAATATAGATATTACCTATGAGTAACAGTTTCTCATCCTACCTCAACTGTTACGAAAGTCTTCCCTCAAACTAAAGCTAAGCAGTTCCACAAAATGCCAGCTATAGACATTAGCAGAAACTGTATATTGATTAGGTGATGTATCAGTCATTGTAACTACCCAGAAAAAAAAATACAATGACAAAACCAAGTGGCCCAACCTTATTTTCTACTTGCAAGAGGAAAAACCCTATTTGGGCCCCAAGATGCTTTTTTCATTTCATTTACCACATCCTGGGTTTGTGCTAGTCAATCTGCTAAATCAATAAGATCCGAAAAAGCAGAAAACAAAGATCGTGAGGCCAGAGGATTTCCTGATCACCATGGCAACACACAGGGGTGGGTACTGTGGTTTCTCTGCCTGAAGACGCACTCGTCAAAGACTACTTGGTGTTACAGAATTCTGGTGCAGTGAAGCAACAGTTCTGGGACATATACTTTCTTTTGCCAGAAAGACTCTGTTGGATCCAGGACCAGGAGTGGGGGGTTAAACAGTTCTCCATACCCTCACCTCCAAGTCCCCATCATCCCATTAGGAGACAGGGACAGTACTGTTCTCCAAACTCTCAAAACAACCCAAGAGCTTTCTAGGCTGTGCATTGGGTTGATCATTTGGTGGCCTTGGCTGAAGGGCCAGGGTAACAGCTAGGAGAACCCTTGGGATTCTTCTCCAATGTGACAGGCCCCTCCATGTTGGTTCAGCGTTGACTGCCATGACAGGCTCCAGGCTCCACGGAAAAAAGGCAGAGAAATCAGGGGGTCCAGCCAGGCGCCAAGACGTTGGGGTGCCTTGCATTTCTAAGTGCCAAGTGATGAATAGCTCAGTTGAAAGCAACCCAGGGCACATTCTGGAGGAAATTCTCTGGGTATGATTGTGCATGACTGTTTTCTCTGCTCATTAAACCCTCATCTGCCTCCAGGGCAATTCCGGGAGAGACTGAGTCACTCAAGACTCATGGTCTGCACTGGGCAGCCAAAGGCGATTCGGCCACCAAGTGTGATTCTGGCCTCATTCAGAAGTGGATGCTAAACAATACACCCTTTCACCAGGAGCCCATCACATGGGCATCAGGAGATGGGGGCGAGTGATGTGCCAGCCTTCTAGACTGGCAGGCCTGGGGGGCAGCAGAGGGCACAATAGCTAGAAAGACTCCCAGATGAAAACTTCTGGGCTTTGAAGCCTTCGAACAAATGAAGAAGAAAATGACTTCTTCGTGTCCTATTAAGACAGTGAGTTGTGGCTTTTTTGAGAGCAGCTTGCTCAGACCTCTTATGAAAGATAGATCAGTAGCAACAGCACTGGTGTAGGAGTCAGAAATCTGCAATTATGAACCACTGAGTTTTGTGTGTGTGTGTGTGTGTTTTTGTTTTTGTTTTTTGTTTGTTTTGTTTTGTTTTTTAACTTGCTGGAGGACCATACTCGGCTATCCTTGATTTTATTTTCTCCTGTGTCACAAGAGAAATTGGTTAGAAGCTTCCCATTGTGCCTCCTGGCTTTAAAAATAGATAATCCAATTAACAATAATGCTTTAAAACAACAAAACCTTGTCCTTTTCCCTTCCTACTTCTGATCAGAACCAGCTCAGTAAGATTTATTAGTTGTGCAATCTGTTTTGGACATGAGCTCAGCAAATCAGAGGACAGAAATAGAATCCTGGCTTTTTAATGATAAACACTGTAAAAATAAAAAATTTGGAGAGCTTACCAGTGCTTCTGGCTGCCCAAGTGGTTTGTGTGTGGTTGACTCCCAGGAGCTCAATCACTTTGGGTGCAGTCCACCCAGAGAGCTATGTTCCAGCTACATCAACCTGGAGCCTTAGCTTGGTCAGTCTAGATTTTTGGGTTTGGCTGCAGACATCTCGTAATGTCACAAGGACAGCCTGTGTCCTTGGTGACCCAACCCTGGGCCAACCCCAAGTCCTGGAGTCCTCTCCTAAGAGCCCTGCCTAATTGTAGAGAGAGCATTCAGGCTGTAAAGGGCAGGAGGCCTGGGGGCTACGACTAGGTTTGGGCTTTCTAAATTCCCAAGAGTATGATGGGAAGACCAACAGGCAGAATCAGAGAGAAGCAGTCAGCCCACTGCTGGGGAAAGCCAGTCAAGGTCAAGACTTCAGAATCTCCTCTCTGGAGAGAGAGTGAAAATTCCATTAGTGAAGTTTGTTCCACTGAAGCCTTACCAGGCCTTGGTAAAGGCCCCTATCTTGTGGTCCAGAATCAAGGGACTTCTGATCTTAAAATAATATTCAATAAGCTCAAATTCTTCTCTCTAGGGCTCTCTTTTCATGATCACCTCTCCACACTTTATTAAAAAATCACATGAAGGGTAAGTGGGCTTCCTGTCATTTCAGTGTCTGACCTGTGCATAAGTTGGAATTTAACACTGGAAAATGATCAGCCAGATTGCCCAGTCTGAAACCCAGGTCCCCCAGTGACTAGCACAAGTTACTTACATCTTCTCAATGAATCAGTTACCTCTTGTGTAAAATGGGGATAATAAAAATGCCTGCCACACAGGATTGTTAGGAAAATTAAGTGAAATATTAGGTGTAAAGTGCTGAATACCTTGAACCCAGACTAGGCACTCAGTGAGTGCTCACTGTGGTTATGGACCAGGAGCTGCAGGAATTAGAACACCATTGAGTAGCAGGAACTGGCTTTATTCTCATCTTCATGATAAAGCAACTTCTCCTTACATATAGCTTAATCTGGAACCAAAAATCTAATTCTGCCTCATCCCTCCTGAGGAGATGACAAATAGGGATCAGGCACACCTGGGTGGCTCAAGTTAGAAAACAAATTAACTCATTTTGCAGAATCTGGAGACGTCTGGTCTGGAGAACTGACAGTGCCCTCTCTTTGGGCATAGTATGACTGTAGGTTGTCTTTGGGTGGTCTTCATATGGAATGTACTGTGTTTGCCATGTTCCCTAGGAGATCTGGCCTCAGAAATGGCCCTGTGATGGTATGTGAACATACTGTCCTGTAACTGAGATGATAGCTTGCACATTCAGACAGACAAAGCCAGTTACAAAACTAAAAGTTGGTCTCTGAAACATTTGCTTTCGGGGAAAACAGCAAATGTTCACAGAAGCAAAGTTCTGGGTTAAAGACATTTTAAGTATCCAATAAGGAATTCTCAGCAAACACCAGCTGGTGATTCCTCAGATATGATGTGGGAAAGGAACCTGATAGGTGATCTTTTTGCACCCTATAAGACTGCAGCCTGTCGGGGGTTGGGGGCAGAAAGAGAGCATTTATTAATTCATTATTTCATTCAACATTTGCCTACCATGGGAGGCTGTACTAGGTACTGGGAATATAATTGTGAAGAAGGGAGACACCATTTCTGTTGTCAACGAAGCCCACAGAGAAGTTCCAAAATTTCAGAATGCTGGAATTTCTGGTTACTAGAGACCTTGAAGATAATAATTTCTTGTAATTCTTTACCTGGTTGTGTCACAGACTTTGAAAACCAATGAAAACCAGAGATGTTGCCCTACCTAAACACACACACACACACACACACACACACATCCATACACACAATCTTGCATATAATCTCACAGGTCCATGGATGTATTGACCAGCTCCTGGATTCCATATTGAAAATCCCTTGCAGCCCAGCTCCAATACTAGTACCAGGCCACTCACCTCTCAGGAAAGTTTGGGAAGACGTAGATAATGGCAACTTGGGTGAAAATTACACAGTGCTCTCTTCCCAGCACATGTTGTGATTTTCTACAACTTCAGAAATAACTGGGGTGGACCAAGAAGCTATTATTCCTCGCAGGCCCTACAATCTAGGCAAAGCTTTGAAATGTGCTCGGACAATTTTATCAGAGATCTATTTTCCTTGATCTGAGGCTTAGGGGGCAGTATAGATGAGATTAATGGCATTTGGGATCAGTGATGGTTTATCCAGGAGAGAATGCATAGTACCTGTAACCAGGAGCCTGAATAGGAGGCAACATAGCATAGAGGTTAGAATCCTGACTTTCCCACTTGGATGACATTGGGCAAAGGACTTCACCACTTTGTGCCTCAGTTTCCTCATCTCTAAAATGGGTTTAGCAATAGTGCCTACCTCATAGCATTTTTATGAGAATTAAATTAGCTGAAGTACATAAGGCACCTAATAAGTGTGCAATGCTCATTGGCTCTGATTATTAAGTGTCAAACACCATATCAAGTGTTTGACATACCTTATTTCATGTAATAGTCCCATAAACCCTGACAGGTTCGCATTGTCATCCCATCAAGGAAGAGGTGGAGAGTCAGAGAGGTTAAGTAATTAACAACCTGTGTCACCTAAAGTGAGTGGCAGGGTCAGGAATTGAACCAGGTTTGAGGAGGTCCTAACTAGGTTGAACTACTGACCTTCATAAAAGTTTGGCACTACAGACCAGCTTTATAGGACAAAAAAACCTTCTTTCAGAGCTCCTTTTTCTCGCCTTCCTGACAGCTCCCTAGCAGACCTCTTCCCATGTGGGTAGGGAGATAAGGTTCCTAGACACTGGGACACTGGTCTCCATGACCCCTCTGTGCTGCCCACAGCCCTATAGTAATGAGCGTGCTAAAGGCCTGGTGGCATTTCTACCACGGGAAGTCTCCTCTCCAAATCCAAAAGTGGCCTCAAACAGTCAGTGTTTTCAGTTGAGCTCATTTATCGCTCAGAGGGAGGCACTTGGGACATTTTATTCATTACATGATGCAGGAGATTTATTGGAGACCAGAGGGCTCAACGGAAAACATTCTTGGTTTATTTCCAGCCAGAAAGGCTTGTTTGAGAGATGCAATCAGCCATTTAGTATTAGCTTCTTGAATCAAAGTGGATCCTGAATCACAGAGTTCTCTGTTTCTCAGGAGAGACACACAGACATCTGAGGAGTCTTGCCTCTCTATAGTGGTTTGCAGCATGGCTAGCACCATTGCCAGAGACACTGGCACTCTGTCAAGCAATGTTCTGTGGTCCATGGCTATTCACATCTTAACCTTGCCTTAATTCTACTTCATTGTGAGTTTGGGCATGTTTCTTTATTTCTTCCCCTCTCTGTGTGTTAGTTTCTCCATCTGGAAAATGAGGATACTAATATTACCCACCTCATAGGAATGTTTTAAGGATAAAATGAGTAAATAATTCTAAAGTGCCTAAAATAGAGCCTGGCATATACACAATGAATGCACAATAAATATTAGCCACTGCTCTTGCTGTTGGCATTATTAATATCCTCCCGGGTAATAATTTGGGTTTGCGTTAGTATCAAGGAAACCTGATGAAATGTCTTCATAAATTATCAGGGTTTGAATGACACACAGCCTTGAAAATGTTGGCTCCTTTTAAGTCAAGAGGGACCTAGAGTAGAAGGATTGTGAACATTCACAGGATAGTTGACCAGAAATGAAGTATTTGACACCATTCTTGCAACTCCTAAGTAGCTAAATAGCGTCAGGGTTAGGAGTTGGACTTTCTCATGAGATCAAGATAAATGTAAGCTGTGGAATTTTTACTTTGCATAGGATTTCTTCATCCAATCAGCAGCCCTTTGCAGATACCTACAATGTGTCAGAACCTGCTTAAGCCTTCACATCTAGGAAGGCTAAAGGTTGAGTTTGTCTGTTTCATCCTGTCTTGGCTGATCACATGCACATACAACCACACACTCACTTGCATACAAACATATAAGTATGAGGAGAATTCAAAATGTTCATGGAAAAATGAGATTAAAAGATAAAAGTTTAAAGATGTAAACTTTACTTCTCAACATAAGCACCATCACATTCAAGATACTGTTATAAGCTATGATAGCGGCCATTTAGTCCATCCCTAAAGAACTGAGGGTCCTGGGAATTTAATCACATCAATGCAATCTTTCTTACATTGTTAACTAAAGAAAAATGGGTGCCCTTTGAAGATTTTTAAAGATTAAGTAACAAAAAAAAAAAAGTCAGAAGGAGTCAAATTTGGACTATAAGGTGGATGCCTAATGGCTTCTCCATAGAAATTCTCAAAAAAATTGCCTTTGTTTGATGAGAATAATGAGCAGGAGCATTGTCATGTCATGATGGAGGAAGACTCTCTGGTGAAGCTTTTCGATACATTTTTTCTTCAAAAGCTTGGGCTACCTTTCTGAAAACACTCTCATAATTAGCAGATGTTATCGTTCTTTGACCTTCCAGAAAGTTAACAAACAAAATGCCTTGAGCATCTCAGACAACGGCTGCCATGACCTTGGCTCTACACTGGTCCACCTGCTTTGACTTGTCCACTTTTGCTTTGACTGGACCACTTCCACCTCTTGGTAGCTATTCCTTTGATTGTGCTTTGTCTTCAGGATCACACACATAAGGCCATGTTTCATCTCCTGTTATAATTCTCAAAGAAATGCTTCAGGATCTTGATCCCACTTGTTTAAAATTTCCATTGAAAGCTCAGCTCTTGGTTGCAGCTGATCTGGGCACAATGGTTTTGGCAACCACTGAGTGGAAAGTTTGCTCAACTTTAATTTTTCAGTCAGATTTGTGTAAGCTGAACCAGTTGAGATGTCTATGATGCTGGCCATTGTTTCTGCTGTTAATCATTGGTCCTCTTCATTTAAGTCACAAATAAGATTAATTTTTTTCTCCCAAATTGATGTGGATGGCATATCGCTGCAGGCTTCATCTTCAACATCATCTTGTCCCTTCTTCAAACAAGTTATCTGTTTGTAAGCTGCTGATTTCTTTGGGACATTGTCCTGATGAACTTTTCATAAAGCATCAATGATTTTTTCATTCTTCCACCTAAGCTTCACCAAAAATTTTGGTGTGTGTTCTTGCTTCAATTTTAGCAGAATTCATGTTGCTCTGAGAGAGGATCTTTTCAAACATGTCTTATCCTTGTTAGTGCCTCAAACTAGATCCTGTTCAGATATATCAAGTTAGTGAGAGTTTATTTTGGTGCAAAAAAAAAAATTTGAAATCTATGTATAGTTTTTTCATAGCACGTATTTTTCATGGAACTTTTGGAAGACCCGTCATATAGACACACTCACACAATGGATGCATGTATTGTCAGTGAAGTTATGTTGGCTTCTGAAACTCAAGGGATTTTGCTGAAACTCATGAAACTCAAGGGATTTTACTGAAAAGTCTCAGCCTCAATTGGTTCCTCTTACATTTGCATATTCTGTCTGCCAGGTGGCAAGGTAGAATTGACTGTAATAAGAAAGAAACTACCATTGAGCTCCAATTATTGTCCATGCCTCAGAGTTGATTTTTAACCTGAGAGTGACAGCAGCCACCTGGGCCAGGGGCAGACAGGTAGTTTGCCTCACCTGGAATCAGAGGCTCCCCTATCAGCCTTATCTTCAAGAAGCTGATAGGAATGCTTTGTTTTTCTTTTGTGTGCTGGACAAGGAGAGGCCCCGGAAGGTCTGTCATGTAGATTGACAGTTTCCTTTTGTAAGACTGGCCAACTGAGGCCAAAGTTGAAAATGTCAGTAAAAACAAATAGTATTGCAAAAGGGCCTTATGCATTTCCTTCTCTATCCTCTCATTGCCCCATCAGCCGAGTGCTGCATGAGTGGCTTAAGAGAACACCATTAGGCTTGAAAAAGAGTGAACTGCAAAAACACATTTTCTCCATTTCACCTAGTTGTTATTTTCCCCCCATGTGCTAATGATGCAAACAAAAGAAAATAAAAATAATAGACATTGGCTTATGTCTTTTCAAGTTCCATTTCTTGTTTCTTCTTTTACTATTTTCAGAATCAAGGAAGATAATACAGAATTTTAACAGTTTTCTTACCTCATTTTGCATTTGTTAGACATTGTTTCCTCGTGGTTGAGACCTGCTTCCTGCTCAGGAAAGAGAAAGCAGTGGTTGCCCATACAATTCAATAATAATGACTCTTTGTCATTATTTAACAGTTGTTTAGGTGTGCCTCTCTCCTTTCTTCAGTTGCACTAATGATAGAAAAGGATCCTTGGGCACATAGTAAAGTGGTTCAAATCATGGGTTTGGGTGGTAAACAGGTCTGAGATAGATTTCCTGCTCTGCCACTTAAGAGCTGGGTGACGTTGGGGAGTCATTTAATTTTTCTGAGCTTCACCCATAAATAATACATACATACATAAAACTCACCTTTCAGGTTTCTGAAGATGATGCAACACAGAATCTCAAAGGTACTGGGTACCCAGGGACACTGCAGTAATAGGTCCCCTCTCCTATTGCTGTCAGCTCAGAAATACAGAACAGAGCAACTGGGATTCAGAAAGGAGACTATAGGCTCTAGATAGAGGTACTCACTCACTTCCTTGGGCAACTCACTTCCCTGAGCCTCAACTTTCTTGTTGGTAAATAAGTGGAATCTTCCTACCCACCACTAGAACTGTGCAAGGAAGAGATGGAGCTGGTTAATGCCAGTTCTGTCTGATTCCAGACCTGGTTCTTAACTAACAACAAGGAGTGGTGCCTGGCCAGGCACTTGGGGCATTGTCCCAAGAGGATGTCAACATGTCTTCTTAGAGAAGGACAGTCATTGAGGCCTGAGGAAGTGTTCAGGAGGAATAAGCTTCACCAGGATAGTTTCAATGACTTAACCCTTTGCATGCAGTTTCCTCAAGTGTAAACCGGGGGTCATATAGTCCCAGGAGTTTTCAATTACAGCCTTTGAAGTCTTTTGAGATTGTTACACAGGATCAAGTAGAAGAGGATGATTTCTAGCTCTCTATTGGAATTTCAGATTAATGTCTACAAAACTCACTAAAGTCCTTGTATTGAATAATTCTTTACCCAACTGATAGCAGTTAGGCTTCATTTTCAATGCCATTAACTCTGAGAGCAAACGACAGGCTTTTGGTCTGCCAATATATTAAAAGTGTGTTTCTGAGGAAATTTCAATGAGTCATTCGTTTATATAACAAATACTTGTTGAGCATCTACTTTCTATTGGGTACTGTTATAGGGATTAGAGATAACAGCTGCAAGCAAGTAAAAGGCCCTTGCTTTCTCAGAGCTTTCATTCCAGGAAGGAGAGAAAGAGAGTAACCACACACATCAATAGATGACCAGGCTGTTGTGAAGACACAAAAGCCAAATGAGTTGAGGGAGAGACTGGGGGTTAGACAAGGGTGTTTAGGGAAGCACTCTAAAGTGAGGTGACGTGGAGTTAAAATTCTGAATGATAAAAAAAATGAACCACCTATGTGACCATTTGAGGATGGAACATTCCAGACAGAGAGGAAGGCAGATACAAATATTCTAGGATGGGAAGGAGCTCAGAATGTCTGAGAGAATTGAAGACAAGCTTTGTGCTTAGAGCAGAGCAAGCTACTTTGAGGTTAGAGAGGGAGCCAGGAGCCAGATTATGTTGGTTTTAGCCATAATAAGAACATTTATACTGGGTATGAACATAAACTCTTGGAGGTTGTAAGCCAGGGAGAGATCACTTGATTGTGAAAAAATGCTCATAACATAAGATTAAGTGGAAAAATGACTCTTAAATCTAGAACTGTATATTCAGTACCATTTCAATTATGCAAGCATATGTGTGAGTATGTATATTTGTGTGTATGTGTGTATGTGTATATAGATACATACTTTATGTATATATGCATAAAGTACGTGTGTGCATGTGTGCACGTGTGAATGTGTGTATTCAGTAAACAAACTGGAAGAAGATATAGAAAAGTGTTTGCTGTAGTTTTTGTAGTGGTGGACTTATTTTCCTTCATTGCTTTCCTGTGTTTTGTAAGTTTTCTGTAAGTTTGTATGACATCAATAATCAAAATTAAATCATTTGCTTTTTAAAAACTTTGTTGCAGAGCAATCAATGGAGAGAATGTAAGAGTGATATTATTTTACCATGTCTTTTCTCAGATTTGAGCTTAATATCATGGTGCTTTGGAATGCTGGAGTGAATTTTGAAGGCTCTGGCTAGCAGAGAAGTTTATTTGGCTTTTTGTTTGTTTGTTCTTTTTTTTTTTTTTTTTTTGAGATAGAGTCTCGCTCTGTCACCCAGGCTGGAGTGTAGTGGCATGATCTCGGCTCACTGTAACCTCTGCCTCCTGGTTCAAGTGATTCTTCTGCCTCAGCCTCCCAAGTAGCTGGGACTACAGGCATGTGCCACCACACCTGACTAATTTTTGTATTTTTTTTTTTTTTTTTTTTTGAAACGGAGTCTTGCTCTGTCGCCCAGGCTGGAGTGCAGTGGCGCGATCTCAGCTCACTGTAAGCTCCGCCTCCCAGGTTCATGCCATTCTCCTGCCTCAGCCTCCGGAGCAGCTGGGACTACAGGCGCCCGCCACCACGCCCAGCTAATTTTTTATATTTTTAGTAGAGACGGGGTTTCACCGTGTTAGCCAGGATGGTCTCGATCTCCTGACCTTGTGATCCGCCCGCCTCGGCCTCCCAAAGTGCTGGGATTACAGGCTTGAGCCACCGCGCCCGGCCTAATTTTTGTATTTTTAGTAGAGACGGGGTTTCGCCATGTTAACCAGGCTGGTCTTGAGCTCCTGACCTCAGGTGATCCACCCACCTCGGCCTCCCAAAGTGCTGGGATTGTAGGCATGAGCCACCGCGCCCGGCCTTATTTGACTTTTTAAGGAGTCTGTCCTAAACTGAACTTATTACTGTCTCCAAATTATTTATGCAAAAGAATCTAACATTTCTATTTCTTCCCATAGATTTGAATATAACCTGCCGCTTTGCAGGTGTATTCCACGTGGAGAAAAATGGTCGCTACAGCATCTCTCGGACGGAGGCCGCTGACCTCTGCAAGGCTTTCAATAGCACCTTGCCCACAATGGCCCAGATGGAGAAAGCTCTGAGCATCGGATTTGAGACCTGCAGGTAAGAGACCAGCACCCGACCACTGGGGAAAGCTGGCGGCCTGGGACCAGGCAGCTGGGCTTAGAACTGGAAGGCTCCTTTCCCACAGCTGAATGGATTATTGCCTAAGGAGTCAACCCCACGTATTAATTTGGCCAAGTCAATCTGCAACCTGTATGACAACTGGAGTTTAAAGTCAGCTAAAGACACCTTTGTGAATCATAGAGCGGGAACCCAGAGGAAGCCATTAGGGGTCCTCTCGGCTGGAATCCTCTTGTCTAACCTGCTTCCACAGAGCTCTCCTGGCTTTGAAGAAGCTGCAGTATCATTGTCAGAACCACAAGAAAACATAAACCAAATAACAGTGTTTGAAATAAATATGTGGCTGTTAGAGTCTTGGCCCTGCAGACTTGGATCAAAGCAGACTTTTCAAACTACTCTCTCTTACTCTCTCTTAAAAAAAATTTTTTTTGGTTTCTCTTCTATGTTTCTCTGGTTTGAAAAAGTAAATAAAAAGGCATGAAAGTTATTAAGCTATATTATATTAAGATATATTATTTTTGGGAGCCCTGAGAGGGCTCCTACCAGTTATTCTAGAGCTGCATAGAGCCTTCCTCAAACTATGGCTCCAAGCAAGATAATCACAACAAGCAAGGACTTTATTTTTTGAATTTCCAATGGCCTTGCGGTAAGCGGTGCACAAGAAGAGCAAGCCACGGTGGCAATCACAGTGAATTGTTGTGGTTCGATTTGTTTTCACTAGAAGAGGACTGAGTAACCTCTGCAACTGCTCTGAAGTTTCTACCCCAGCCTGTAGCTGTGCTTTTGCAGTGTCTTTAGGTAATATGATTCCCCTTTCTCTGCAACACACACTCACATGCACACAGACTGCTTTTGAAAAGTCAAGCTGCAGAACTCTACGGAAACCATGAAGTGTAAGTTAAGTGCTTCTATCCTCCAACACTGGGTACAGTCATGCACCCACATTATGAGTGATGGCTGAGACTCTTGCTGAAAGGGAAAAGGAAAGTCTTTTGCCTAAAATTGCCCTGTCTGATATGGTAGCCACTAACCACATGTGGTGACTTACACTTAAACTAATTAAAATACTAAAATTAAAACTTTAGTTCTTCACTAGCACTAACTACATTTTAAGTGCTCGGTTAGTCACCGATGGCCAGTGGCTACTGTACTGGATGACCCAGGTTAGAGAACATTTCCATCATTGCAGAAAGTTCTATTGAGGAGCACTGCTCTAAAATAAAGAGCAGATGTACATAGACATCTGTATGTGTTCAGAGCTAGGTCTGGGGGAATATGAAAGGAGCAGAGAGAGGGAGAAAGCTCTGGTGGCTACTGAACTTGCACTGTAGGATGCAATGAAAAAAGGCCATTTAGCAAATCCATTATTCTATTCCCAAGGCTAATTGTTTAATTATGGCCCTGACTAGGCCACTGGCCTAAGAAAGTGAATTTAGTAAGCTGAACTTTGATTGTGAAATACAAACAAGGCATACTTGCAAAATATAGATATGCTGCCATGTGCTGAGGACCAGGGGAGTTCTTACAACTGCCACTGGCCAATCATCAAGCACTTAGATGCTGGGAGCCCTACTGCCCACCTGGCCAAACCCCTCACTTAATCCTCAAACTGCAGTATTGGTCAATATTATCACCTCATTTTATGGATGAAGCAGCCGAGGCTTAGCGAATTTGCACACACAGCCTGCCTATGGAGGAGTTAGGATTCTGGTTCTGCTTAGCCTCAGCCCAGGACAGGATTTTAATGACCAAGTCCTCCTCAGGGGCTTAAAAGGGGAGGAAAGTATGCTTCCTGGATTTGCTGAATATTCTTTCCTCCTTGTGAACAGTAACTTACTCATGCCACATACACACATATAAACTTTAATATCCCCAATTTACAGTTAGCATGACCCATAAAACCGGTAGGCAACATGAGGTGGCAAAAACTCAGTAATAGCTTACAAAGAGAATGCAATAGATTCTAGAATGTTGGTGTTATCCATACTTGATGACATGATGTGATGGGGGTGAGTTGGTGGGTAGGTTCACCAAGAAGTATTATTTAGAAAAACTGTGCCAAAGAAATCTATCATTTCACCCATAACTGGTATTAAGTATTGCAAAACTCATTTCCATAATTTCTCTCAGGTAGCTATGAATCAGCTTTCTGCCACAGGACAGATGGCAGAGTCTCATGGGTTAGGATAAAACCTTAGCAGCTACTCTCTTTTGTCTGCCCCACCCTGATTGGTAGCAACTCTTAGATATATGAAAACTTATTACCATTTAATTGTGCCCACACCCCCTGCCAAGCTAAGGAGGCTTTGGGGAAACCAGTTTGTCTGTTCAGATGAGAAATTAGTCATGCGAGCTACAATTGCCACATAGGTAGGAGTTCTGTGTGCTTGGAAACTTCAGACTCACAGACATTTCCATGGGTCGTGCAGGGTGATGCACTCCATGCTGTTGCCCCTGGCAGGAAAGATGAAAAGCATCAATGTGCATTTTAGCCAGAATTGCATTTTGAAAAACCTGCTGGATTTAGCTTCCTCCTCTCTGCCCTCCTGCTGCACCACAGCTTCCCTTGCACATGGCATTTTCTCAGCCCACATCTCATTTTTTGAGGCATTTTATATTCAAAAAAAATTGTGTTTTTAGCACAATTAAAAAATAAGCAAGTTTTTAGCCACCAGGATGCTGCTAGAAGAGGCTGGGCTGTGTATGTTGTATCTGTATGTCGTATCCAGCTGTAACACACTCCCAGAGATACCTTGGTGGGGAGAGAGGGGCTATGCATTTCTCTGGCTGTGCTACTTCTGGAAAGTTCCTGAGCTACATGAGCCGTTGCTATCTGCTTACTTAATTGCTATGACTCCCATTGTAATGATGGTTAATTTATTCCCACTGGCAATAGAATTATGCCTGCAATGCTCAGGAGGCAGTGTGCTGTGCTGTGTACTTGGCATATAAACAAGGCTTCATGTTTAGGGCAATGGAGTATGGAGTAAGGGGACTCACAGGAAAAGTTGTGGCTGAGAAAGAAGTGGGGGAATGGGACATGAGGCAGGTCTGGAATGTGTGCACTGAAATAAAGAAGCACCCCTTCCTATCTATGGAAGCTGGCCATTTTGTGTATTTTCTGGAAAACATGAAGGTATTCCAGAGCCAGCATGAATCTTACATCAAAACTTCTCTCTTCTGTGACTCAGGCTTCCTTCTGTTTGTTCAAATAGACTCAACACTGCTGAACACAAATTTTAACTGAAACTAATTATTCCTTTCATGATTTTTTTTTAAAGCTCTTTATAGGTCTCTAAATAAAATCACTTTGTTTCTATCAGTCTTGTTGATCTCTTTCCCTCTCTATGCTGTTATTTTTGGATTTCAAATAACTCGGTTGTTGAAACCTCCGATATCCCTAGGGGTGAACTGAATGAAGTGTTGCACGGCATTAAATGTCATTGAATGGGATATTATGAAATTCCCATCTTAGCCATTTAGGTCAATATCCTGTTGTTTTTCTCTTACAGGTATGGGTTCATAGAAGGGCACGTGGTGATTCCCCGGATCCACCCCAACTCCATCTGTGCAGCAAACAACACAGGGGTGTACATCCTCACATCCAACACCTCCCAGTATGACACATATTGCTTCAATGCTTCAGGTTGGTTCTCAGGGGGGTGTCTGTTGGCGTGAAAGGCTGTGGGAGCCTGGTCTTTGGAGCTCAGCTTAAGTGGGGATTCATGTAGCCTCCATTTACATAACAAATGCTCACTGAATATCTGTACAGCAGAGCCAACATTCCTGTCTCCATGGAGCTTACATGCTAAATTGGGGAGGCAAACAATAAACAAATAAATATTAAATACCATTCAGGACTGTCCAATCTTTTGGCTTCCCTAGGTCACATTGGGAGAAGAATTGTCTTGGGCCCCACATAAATTACACTAAAACTAAGAGTAGCTGATAAGCTAAAACACAAACAAAAATCACACAAAAAAAATCTCATAATGTTTTAAGAAAGTTTACGGGTTTGTGTTGGACCACATTCAAAGTCATCCTGGACCACACAAGGCCTGTGAGCCGCAGGTTGGACAAGCTTGCCCTATATGAAGTCTGAAAGTGATAAAAGTGCTATAAAAAAGAAAGCAAAATACGAGGCTAATGAGTGCTAGGGATGCTTTTATTTTCTGAGAAGGTGGTCAGGGAAAGTGCCTCCTGGACTGTTCTGAGAATATCAGTGCTCAGAAGGGAGAATGCCAAGGAATAAAGTCAGAGAGCTAAGCAAGGGCCAGCTAACGGGGTGATTCATTCTCAGTGTGATGGGAAGTCATTACAGGTTTTGAATAAGGGAGTGACATGAATCTAATGATAGCTTTGGGGTGTAAGTCAAATGTCTTAGCTGAGAGGTATTTATTATATGAGAGGGCTGGAAAAAAGCCTTGGAGAGTATATGGTATGCCTTTGACCTTCTTAAATATCCCTTACCCAACAGTTGAAAGAACCAGAGAAGAAGAAACCTAAGTTAAGATGTAGATGCTAGGACACAGGCCAGCCTTTCTCTATGTCTTTGTGACTTTCTCCCAACCATTAACCTAGAAAATCAGGCTTATGAGCCTTATTCAAGTCCTAGCAAAATTAAAGAATTCTATGCATCATGAATTTTCAGAATTTTTTGAGAAGGATCAAAATATAAATGTCAAATATCTCGATGCCAACTATCAAAAGTCTTACCTCTTAAACTGGGCCTTCTGTTCCCATGGAAGGTTTGAAGTTGGGTGAAGGGAAAGATGAAGCCTTGAGGTAAACTTGGTACATCTTGCTGGAGTGTCAGTTTTCCCTAAAGATGTGAAGGGGATGTTAAATTAGCTGGAAAGGGACTTAAGACATTATCAGCCTGAGACAAACACAGATATATACATATACATATATATATATTTATATATATATTTATTTATATATATTTATAAATATTTATTTATATTTATATATTTATATTCATTTATATAAATTTATATTTATATATTTATATTTATTTATATAAATTTATATATAAATTATATTTATATATTTAAATATATATTATAAATATATAAAAATTATATTTATATATAAATTTATATATATATATTATATATAATTCTATATATAATATAATATATAATATATATTATATATTATATTATATATAAATTATATATAATATATATAAATTTTATATATATAAATATTATATATTATATATAAATTTATATTTATATATATGTATATATGTATATATAAATATATACACATTTATATATATAAAATCAAGATATCACAGATATATATACCATATACATCAAATATAAATATACATATACCATATATATGGTAGTAAAATATAAAAAGCTGCATGGATTTTTAAACTATAAAAAGGACATCAACTTAATTATGAGATCTTTCTTCTACTCACTACTAAAAAAAACCCAAAAATTAAAATTAATTGTGAGATTACATCAGTGGCTTTAGTCTACACCACCTACCCTTTGTTGTGTGAACAGTAGGGATCAGAGTGGAAATTCAGAGAAGAAATCTAGAGTTTAGGACAAAGTATCAGGGCTGGCTAGTTGAAATGGAGTGCGTGAAGCCAGTAGATTTTGACAAAAATTTACAGGTCACTGAATCTATCGAGAGACATACGAAACAGGAACAGAAAACTGTAGAATGTTTACTCCTCCCTGTTATATGAGTGAAGAACACAAATGGAGTTTGACTAAAGGGAAGGGAGTCCAATTAACACTAAGTAGTACACGACTCATACATACTCAGTTCCCATACCCATGTCTAGCATGTCGTTCTAATGATATTATAATGAGAAAACCACATATAAAAAAGTAAGAAATAGACATAGAGCAACATGTGGTCTAGCTAGCTCCATCTCAGTGCAACAGGTCAGAGGGAGACATTGGGAAAAGCTTGTGCTTTAGATGAAGAGGTTGACTCATTGGGAAAGGGCTGGCATGAGGCTATACACTCCTGAGTCTCTGGGCACTGCTTATTGCATCTCCCATTGAGTCTTGCTGAGTGAATGTATGCAATAAATTATGTAGTTGCATACCCACATTGTCTTACCTGTTTTGCAAGTTGGTTTCACTTGCTAAAAGGAACCTCAACTCAGATAGAAGCTCACACTGTTTTATTGCCTGGCATCGAAGCCATCTAGGCAGGCTGCGACTGAGACTTGTTTCTATCCTTAATTTTGTTCATGAGGTTGGGCCCATACCTGGAGTTGGGAGCAAGAGCATTGATTAATTTTCTTCTCTTTGGAGGGTTAGTTCAGTTGAAAAGCTTGAGAAGTACAGGGGGTATGTTCCTTACTAAAATGGATGAATTAAATAATAAAGCTAGAAGTAATATTTTTCCTTTTGTCTATTTTCCAAATTGACTCGATATTGATGGCTACTTTTGTAAGTTTTTATTTAAGTTTAAAGGGAATATTTATTGATCACCTCTATGTGCTCAGTACTGCACTAGGCAGAGATGGAGTAAGAAAGAACTGGAGGCTACATTTCTTGTCTTAAAGGAGTTAACAATCTTGTTGAAGCAATGAGACAAAAAAAAAAAAAGAAAGAAACTGGAGAAGAGGATAAATGTGTTTAAGGATAAATAAATTCTGAATGTCTTGGATTAGAGTCAGATGATAGGGGTATTAAGTGAGCTAAAGATTTTGATAAACTGCCCTATGCAAAGATTTCATTGCAAGGATCCCTGAATCTAATTTAGCCTGAAAGCTGCTAGCAGGTGGTCATGTCCCAGTGCTGTGATCCCCCCCATAAAACGGCTACAGGGATAAAAGTCAGCTTGATCTTAGTAGATAGCTTCCATAAGCTTAAGTTTTAGCAGTATTTTTAGAAAACATGGCCTGTGGCTAACAAATGAAAATAAGGCAGAACTTGAAAAGGCCTTTGTGATTTTTTTTCCCTCATTTTCAGTGGTTGAGGCCCAACGTGAGCCTGGTGACTTCTGTGTGAACACAGAACTGACTTGAATTGATTCATTTATTAAGCTTGCTTTCAGTCAAGTGCCTCATTTTCTTTTGAGGGTAGAATTAAAGGGAAGATTCTACATGTACTTGTTTATCCATTTCCTCCTTTATTCAACAACTATTTGAGAATATTTATGAGATACCTAAAATGTATCAAGCATTGAAGAGGGTGCCTTTCTATCTGGCAACCAGAGATTAGTGGTTAGACTGAATAATTAATGTTTCTCTTGGTTATTTTGGTGTGTTGAAGCCAAGGTTTATGAGAAAGCCCACCTCAGAGAATTTCTAACAAGTCCTCAGATTCAGGAACACCTCACCAGGTCTAGCTTTCCAAGCAGTACAGAGCTCATTAAATGGAAAGAAAGGCTATCTAATAAGGCCCTGGAATCCGACATGAGAGCATGAGTCTGTTAATTGCACATTTGGGTCAATCCACTAAGCATATTTGCCAGATTTGATGTTCTTTATAAAAGTTAAGGTGAATTGGAGCATGAAGGGGGTCCATGTGAACAAATGCTCTAATAATTTACAAAACTGTCTTAGGGTTTGTGACATCATGCTCCATTCTATTACAACTTGCTGCCTGGAAATTCCCAGTGTACTGTTACTTGCAGTTATATTTGAAGTTAGGGGAGATTGTTTCATCCCTGGCATCAAGAAGCCATAATCCAAAGCCTGGTTCCAGGTATGCACAACATACAAATATCAGAAGCATCTCATAGGTTGCGTCAGTTTCTGCTGATATTTCCAAGAGAAACAAGATAGATACTCCCCTAAATCTCCCAGGTTGGCTATATGCCCTTATTTTCAAGTGTAATAATTTTGGAAAATATTTTTGAAAACTGTAAAAAGCTAAATTAATATTAATTATTACAGTCCCCCATGACCTTGTGAGTTTATCAGAAGCAGGGACAGAAACATGCTCATCTTCTTTTCTCCTTTTATATGGTCTGGCATATAAGTGTTGAGTAGATGCTTAAAAATAATAAATGAAGAGTTATATCTGTAACTTCCTTTAATTATTTCTTATGGCATTACCATTTAAGGATAATCTAAATGCGTGACCTGTACATATTTGGAGATGCATTTAGGGGGCTAACATCTTAGGTGTGTTTACTGGAAGAATAGACCCTTGGGAAATTATATCGGTACTTTTTTCTTTTTTCATCCATTCAACACATTTTTATTGCATGTTTCTCTGTCCCCATCACACATAAATGTTCTGGCCAAGACAGATAAAGTTATTACTCATCTGTGGAGCTTATACATTTCTAGGGAGGGAGGCAGGTAGCAGAAGGCAGAGATTGAGAGAAGTGCCATGAACAGCCATCAAGTAAGATGAACAAGATAAGTTTATATGGTGGTAAACATGAAGAAGAAATGAGAGCAAGATGCTATGTGATGGTGACAGGTGTGGGGGAGTGATGAAGCAGTTTAGATTGGATGGTAAGGAATGGCCTCGCCAAGGAGGTGATACTTCTCTTTAAAGAAATCTGAGAAATCTTTTAGGACAGGCTTTGCAAGAATGGTGTTTCCTAAAACTTTCTGTTTTTTTCCAATTGAATGTATAAAACTGCCAGTTAGTTCCACTAACTGCCCAAAGAAATGGGCAGGTTAAGGTTATCCTTTTTATCTGTGGGAAAAGATGCTCCCAGGTACTAGGAAGCAAACAAAACCTGTTTTGTTCAACTTGTGTTTCTATCCACTTTTATAAGTACACAAAAATTATAGCAGGACACTTAAAATACTTGTGATAACAGCCTTTCTTGTGATAGCAGTCTGTCTGTCTGCCTGCCTGTCTTCCTCCCTCCCTCTCTCCATCCATCTATCCATCCATCTCCATCCATCCATCTCCTTCTTCCTCTTTGCCAGGAGCAATTCTGGGAGAAACTAACCTAACAAATAAATTTCCATTTTAATTTAAGTATGCACACACACACAGAATAAAAGCTGTAATGCACAAATGGACTTAACCTTTCTATAAAGGCAAAACCAGTTTAAAGCTCTCTGAGGTTTTAGAGCTCAATACAAGGTATAGTCACAGAATAAAGCACTTTGGCATGAATAGAAGGTTGCTTCAGCTACACTGCAGTCTGCTTTTAAGACACAAGGAATGGAATGCAGGGTGGAAGTTTCAGGGCCTGTTATCAGACCGCTTGAGACAGTGCTGCTCAGAGGGCTACCAGTAACATCTGTGGATGATCAGTCAGGCCCAAGATTCAGGCAGAAATCTTTATTCCTAAAGCAAGGGATGAAAGAGTAGAGGATAAAACGAGAACAAGAGAAAAAAAAAACCAGAAATGCCCATGATGAGATATGCCAAAACAGTAACCTTGAAAAATATTCTGGGCACCTAGGCCAAAGGTGGTCAACCTCAGAAGCAACATGCTGAGAAGCAGTCTATACAGAGTAAGCACCTAAAAGATCAGCTAAATTAATAAATACATTATTACATTAATGAAAGACTAGAGATTCATTTGGTTTTTAATATTTCAACTGAGTAAATTCTTTGTTGTGATTATGTTATTTTAACCTTCAGATTGTCATGCTGTTCATGTTGATAAACATTTGATTGTGTGTCTGCCATGTTTTCTCATCATTTCTGTGGACTTCCCAGATTATAAATGATTTTCTCATGATAGTTCATACTTTACTTTTAAATTTTTTTACAATGTTCCTGCATTACTTTTGTAATCACAAATTTTAAAAATCCTCCCTAATGTGTTTGCATTAGAGAAGGAGCCGTGTCTATCTTATTTAAAATTGTACCCCCAGGCTTCCACAGTGCCTGATATAGAATGTATATTTATTAATGAATGAATTCACTGTGGTGGGAAAATTTCCGGAAACTTCATAAGTTCCAGAAATTTATGAAATCAGGTAAAAACGGAAAATCCATCAGGAAAGGCAGAGAAATTCCTAGCCAACTTAGGAGTTTCGGAAAAAGAAAGTTATTTGGAATAAGTTATAGTAAAACTCCATTCTAACTGACTAATAAAAATGAGGGTAGATTTTCCTCATGTTTTTAAAGGGTTCTCATCCTTTTTTTCCTACCTCATAGCTCCACCTGAAGAAGATTGTACATCAGTCACAGACCTGCCCAATGCCTTTGATGGACCAATTACCATAAGTATGTCTCTCTTCTAATCTTAATTAAATTTTCCTATTTTGGGGAAAGGGCTCAGGTGTGTTCTCTGTGGTATATTTGAATAGAATATTAGGCCAGGTGTGGTGGCTCACTCCTGTAATCCCAGCACTTTGGGAGGCTGAGGTGGGTGGATCACTTGAGGTCAGAAGTTTGAGACCAGCCTGAACAATATGGCGAAACCTTATCTCTACTAAAAATACAAAAAATTAGCTGGGCATAGTGGCAGGTGCCTGTAATCCCAGCTGCTCAGGAGGCTGAGGCAGGAGAATTGCTTGAACCCAGGAGGCAGAGGTTGTAATGAGCTGAGATCGTGCCACTGCACTCCAGCCTGGGCAACAGAGTGAGACTCCATTTCCAAAAAAAAAGAAAAAAAAATATTAGTCATTTCCCTAAGACTAAGTAAGGACAGTTGGCTTTAATTCAGTGTCCCTTCCTTTTTTTCTGCAATGACTTGAAACTGCTCTCTGGTTTACACTCATGCATCGTTCCTCAAACTTCAGTCATTTGAAAACCACTTTCACATTTTTTTTGGCATCTCTATATGTACAATGCTCTCATTTACTTGATATTTTTATTTAAATGATCCACTGTTTTCTAATTAAAATACACTTATTTTTAAAAAGAAATTGCACATGGAAAACCAACATCACATCGTAAATAGAAGGCAACCTTAATAATAAACTTAAATGTAAGAAAAATTAAATAATGTTCTTAATTTGCAGCTGCTGAAAGCTCTGGGTCTGAGTCATGTTCTCTCTTATAAAGAGGGATTAATAAGTGTCAGGTGTAGGGGCATTTTGGCCCTAATTAGCAATTTTCTGTTTGATATAACTGAAGTATTGAAAGATAATCATGAAGGATATAAACTTCCTGATACGTGTTTTGACATTGTTTATACCACATCCATCTTAAATCATCCTGATATATGATTATCCACAGATGTATATATTCGGGCACTTTTTAAAAATAGACATGGGGGTCTCACTATGTTGTCCAGGCTGGTCTTGAACTCCTGGGCTCAAGCAATCCTCCTTCCTCAGCCTCCCAAAGTGCCAGGATTACAGGCATGAGCCACCATGCCTGGCCTATTCCAGCACTTTAGAAATCAGAAAATCTCAACCAGAACTTTCAAATAGGCTAACTGCTAACCCTGATCTTACGGCCTCTGAGCTTCATTTAATGGGAAACAGTACAGTGTTGAGAGGTCTGATTTCTGCTTCCTCACAGCTGGATACTGACAGTGTGCACAGGCATGATGTTGGCAGTGGCAGAGGGATGAGAATCTTCGTAGACCATACAAACCCAGCCCCACATTGTTATGTAAGGAATTGTCCCTGACCTGTGCCTTGCAATAGGAAGGGGAGGCTTCACACCATGATGGCTACGACATGAGATGTGCTGTCTCAGCA
This sequence comes from Homo sapiens, assembly GCF_000001405.40. Classification (NCBI taxonomy): domain Eukaryota; kingdom Metazoa; phylum Chordata; class Mammalia; order Primates; family Hominidae; genus Homo; species Homo sapiens. Next base: position 35,188,328 of record NC_000011.10, read on the forward strand.
GGCCTGGTATGAAATCCTAGTTCCCTCACCATGTGTGAGATTTTAGAGGAGTGACTGATCCTCAGTTTTCTCATTCATATAATGGAACAACCTATGAGAATATTCAGGAAATTTGTAAAAGACACTATGTCTAATGTATGTCCAGCCCATAGTAGAGGTTTAATAAATGCCCTGTTTCTTTGATGCCCACAGTTCTCTTTTGAAGTCCAGACATGTAAGAGTGTGGTCAACAATATTTCCTTGTCAAATCCTCACCTGCAGAGATTACCAGGGTGACTGAGACCTTGATTTTTTTTTTCATTTATGTATTATTAATAGTTCCACTTGAGGCTTGCCACAGTGGCTCACTCCTGTAATCTCAGCACTTTGGGAGGCTGAGGCAGGCAGATCACCTGAGGTCAGGAGTTCAAGACCAGCCTGGCCAACACGGTAAAACCCCGTGTCAACTAAAAATACAAAAATTAGCTGGGTGTGGTGGCATGCACCTGTAGTCCCAGCTGCTTGGGAGGCTGAGGCAGGAGAGTTGCTTGAACCCAGGAGGCGGAGGCTGCTGCACACTGAGATTGCACCACTGCACCCCAGCCTGGGCAACAGAGTGAGACTCCATCTCGAAAAAAAAAAAAAGTTTCATTTGAGCAAGCTAAATATGTGGCCAAAAAGAACCTTTAGTCCCATCAATGCAATACAGCAGAAAATAATTTCATCTAAATGCACACCTGCATAGTGAGTGGCCCAGACTTGAGAGCAGCAAATACTTCTAGGGAGGAATAATGAATGAATGCATTCAGGCTTTTTCTTCTCCAATTCATTCTAGTCATTTGTTGAAACCACAGATGTTGATCTTCATGTATATCTGTGCTTGTTAATTTCCAGGTTGAATTTCACAGAGAACGGCAAATGCTCTTCTGTATTTAGACCTGCTGGTTTCCTAGCCAGAAGTGGGTGTTTGCACAAGTGGACAAAACTTGCCCCTTAAAAAAGAAAATCAAAATCTTCATCATTTTGCAGATGTATCTTCCCTGCTGAGGCTATTAGTCTGCTACTTCAAATCCTTTTCGGAGGAATATATGGAATTAATAGCAACACATTTTATATGTACTTCAGAAGGGAGAGTAGGGAAACAAGTGGGAGAATGATTATTTATTGAGCATCCACTGTATTTTGAATACTGTGCTGAGCACTTTACTTACAATGTATCACATAATCCCCATTTTACAAATGAGGAAACTGAAGCTCAGAGTTGCCTTGTCCAGAGCTCTATGAAGCTAGGATTCAAACACAGGGATGGGACTCTCCAGTACTTCCTTGTTTCCTGCCTCATCCCCAGGGTGTGTGGGGGATGGGAGGGTGCACTTTCTTAGTGCATCTGCCACTCTCTCCCACCACTGGATAGATAGGTGTTTCTCATTACAAAGGAAAATAGCTTTGAAGTCACTATGTTAAACGCTAATCCACATACTCAAAATATGAGCTGTGAAGTTCTGTAAGTACCTTTTCTCTCTCCCAGCTATTGTTAACCGTGATGGCACCCGCTATGTCCAGAAAGGAGAATACAGAACGAATCCTGAAGACATCTACCCCAGCAACCCTACTGATGATGACGTGAGCAGCGGCTCCTCCAGTGAAAGGAGCAGCACTTCAGGAGGTTACATCTTTTACACCTTTTCTACTGTACACCCCATCCCAGACGAAGACAGTCCCTGGATCACCGACAGCACAGACAGAATCCCTGCTACCAGTAAGGAGAATAAATCACTGTGCTTCCCAATAGCAATTCCCTGGCAAAATGTCTCTGACCTTCCTGAGCATTGCACACTCACGTGCTGATTTTCTCGTCTCTAGACAGCTGGAAGCTGGTGATGCCATTCAGGGAGGTGGGCTCTTGTGGTTGTCAGTAAACTGCCTGCATTGACTACTACTGCCTACCTTTTTTCCTCATCTATAACTGTTTTTCTTACCTTAGCATAAGAAGTGCCATATTGGAAGTTTTATTTTGGGGAGAGCCCTCCTTATTCTCTTATCCCCAGGTATACAGTAACAATTCAAGCCTGATATGAAAACTGTTTTCATTTTTTCATGTTTCCTTCTTGTTCTTATCCACCTATGGATAAGATTGTTTTCATAAAGTTGGGATCATAGAGTTTGCATACCACTCCACTAGCACCTTTTAAAAAACCCACTTATGCCTGAGGTTGCAATTTTTTGAATTTTTGCAATCAGACCTTGGTGATGACAATGAGCAGTAGGATATAAATAACTCCCACATGCTTAGCTTTCCAATAATGGAACAGTAGGCATACGTGGGTCAACTGTGGCTTTTTATGTTTTAACTTGATTTACATTCATACTATTGATAGTGTAATATTCAGTGATTTTCACCAACGATAATTTACTCAACAATTCCTTTGTTTTTAGTCCAAGGAAGCATATCTGGAAGAGTTTTCTGGTGAAATTAAATCAGCTTAAGAGCTCTATAATCCAGCCTGTTGGGGAATGTTCTCAATACTTACTTGGTGTGTGGGGGTAATTCATTACTTAGGGTTGCAAGAGTGGAAGTATGTAAACATTGCGTTCCATTCCTTTGGAGTTTGCCCCTCGCGCTTCAGCTCCACTGGAAAGTGTTTACATCTCTCTTGTCTCCTGTTTCCCTCTTTGCTTTTCTTCTATGGTTTGTTTTGAAATGGGCTCCCAGATGGGCCATGTTCCTCCTGTGGAGGATTAATCAAACTCAAATAGGGCATCTGCCTCTGGAGCGGTTTTCCTAGTATGGTGTGGATGTTCTCTTTTCCTGGCTATAGCTCCTGAGGGGTGAAACTTGGGCCTCCAAAGAGTGTGGCAGAAATGCGCTGGCTTGTGAATACTCAAGACAGGGCCCTTCTCTATTCCTTGTCACCCAGAAGCCAGGGAAACCCCCACAGTACTGTGATTTCATTTAAGGTCACTTGCGCAATAGTGTTTTAAATTTCTGTCAGTCTCTGGCTGAGGGCATGATACAAATAGGCTTGGGGTTCCCATCACTCCCTGCACATTCTTTGAAGCTTTTTAAAAAGCAGAGTTTTCAAGCTGCCCATACTTTCTTGGGTTATTGGCCCTCTTGAGTTTGCATCGGCTTATTGTTGGTAGTCCCGTGGGCAACCCTTCTTGAGAGAGGCTTCTGCAAACCAAGCGGGCCGTGCTGCTAGCTACTCACTGCTTCTTGGGTTCCCTGTCTTTTTAAAGTAACCATGTCGAAGGTGCTTATCATTATGGTAGGCAATTTTGTCGGATGTTAGCGAACACAATAATTAGTGGTCTCAGCAGGAAGGAGAATAGGTCTACCCTAAAGTACCACTTCCCACCAAAGAAGAAAATCCTGATAAAACATAACTTGGGACTATATGTAGTTAACATTCAAACCACTAATAGCCTATATAAAATAGTATTTCATGTGTGTTTTAAAAACACACATTTCATTAACCCCTATAGAATATCTCTTAAGAACTGTATCTTCCCTTCCTAAGTTAGTCAGCAAACGTATTTTGAGAACCTACTACGTACCAGGCCTATTAGAATGCTTGGGATCGAAGGATAAACATAGTTAGGAAGTAATATTGAAGAGAGGCAAGGATTACTGAGATATTTATTCATTCAATCAATATCTGAGGTCTTCTGTATGCCAGACACTGCTCTAGGATGCTAGGAATTCAGAGTTGGACTTACCTTCATGGAGACTACATATTATTGGTTTAGAAATCAGGGAAAAGGAGTGTTTATGAGATTTAACTAAAACATAGTTCAGGATTTGAGCTGAGAAATGAATTGTGCCTTTCTCCTCCCAGATAAATTAGTTAAGTTTCCTTCAGCAGCTAAAAAAGAAAGAGACTAATGAGTCTACCAAATGAGTCCAGGGCTAACCTGAGAGTCACTGAAGTACTATAGGACCCAATGGGACCAGTAGCAGCTCCAAGTGGATCACTTCATGCAAAGAAACATACCAAGGCAAACAACCTGGTGGAAACTTGAACGTAGCATAATGGCATGCCAGGAAAAGTCAGCACTGTTAGGTTCCTGAGTAGAATCGTATTTCTAAAGTCCAGTGAGGAGATTTGCAAAACCTTATCACTGTTGGACTGAGAGCTGGGACAGAGTGACAGGGAGTGATTGCAAAGCCTCCCTCATGCATTGCAGGAGGGCAGGGGTCAAGAGGAGTGCTGGCTGAGAGCACAGAAGAAGCGGTCTTTGGCTCGGCTGGCTCATTCCTTCCTGAAGGGCCTGTAGTGGGTGGCAATAGGGACAGCTAGTAAGAATAACCATCTGGGTAGCTTTAGGCTTCCAGCAGGCTGTTTATCTTGAGTGTCATCAGCCTCTTCCTATTGGTGACCTGGAACTCTCTGGGATCAAGAAACCTAAACTAATTCAGGAAGCAGACTCCTGCCTTGGAACACTGTATTTCCTTGTCTTCTGGGTGTCAAAGGAATTCTTTCTTTTTTTTTTTTTTTTTTTTCAGATCTGGTATGGCCTATTTGGGTGGGGAAAATTAGAAATTCTGCTGGCTAGGCAGTAGCTTTTTCCATTTTTCCCCCTCATACCACTCCTTTCAGGAAGACAAAAATAACGCCTATTTCTATCTTGTTCTTGTAGGTTTGTTTCCTCTGGTACTATTTTTTCCTGTTGTACTATTGGGTGAGGGTGGTGGGAATTATGCATCTTTAATAAAGTTTCTGAGGTGAGAATGTGGTGTCTGTGGATTTTCCCGGGGATGCTCAGGTTTGTCTGGAGGCTTCATGGGTAAAATTGGCTCCTATTTCTCTACTCTCTGTTCTGAACTAATGTGTCCTTTGCAGCAGGGGTGTCCAGTCTTTTGGCTTCCCTGGGCCACATTGGAAGAAGAATTGTCCTGGGCCACACATAAAATACACTAACACTAGCCATAGCTGATGGGATAACAACAACAAAAAAAGCTTATAATGTTTTAAGAAAGTTTATGAATTTTTGTTGGGCCACATTCAAAGCCATCCTGCATCACAGGTGGCCCACAGGCTACGGGTTGGACAAGCTTGATTTAGAGGACAGAACATACTGTGCCAGCTGTTGGCATTTTATATAGATAGAGTCAAAGTTTTTAACCTAGGGTTCATGGACCTTCAGTAGGTTCAATGGTAGACCATAAGGCATTCTAGAACTATCTGAAATAATATGCAAAATTTTGAGTGTGTATATGTAGCATCACTTTTTTGAGGAAGGAGGACATAACGTAGATTTTCAAAGGGATATATAATTTAAAGTGGCTTTTTAAAATCTCAGCTGGCTTAAATTAGATATTTATCCTGATGGTTTTTGCCATTCCATTTCAATAAGAAAACATGCTGGACTCAAGTCAAACTTGAGAGTCGAATGAGAGATTTTAAATTGCAAAATGTTACTGATGATATTTTCTCTAATTTGAGAAAAGTCTGGAATTTCTCTAACTTTGGCAACTCTAGTTTTTGGTAGAAACACATATTGAATTAGAATAAAAAGTGACAGAAATGATAGATGGATACCTGAGGAAGTTTTATCTGATTTCGACACTTTGAACACATTTTCTTTGCAAAGTTCCTGCTCAAGTATGAAGTTTGACCTGAGGCTGATGCGTGTGGGCGGAGCTTTGAAATGCCAGTTGTCATCACAAACTACCTGGGTACAATGCTAGACAGATGTGAAAAATACACACTAGCAACCCAAAGATAATCCAAAGATAAATGCATGAAAGCAGTCGTTTGAAATGCTGCTTCGAAAACCTCCAGCTCATGGCTCAGTCGCCCAATCAAGTAAATAGAAAATCTCTTTCCTTCACAGGTTATTAAATTGCTGCTTGATTTTGCTTTGATCATGAATTCAGGGGATTCAGTTTGAAGAATGAGTAGCATGAAATTTATACCCATGAGGAATTTGCATTTCTGATGTTGTCCTAAGATTGTGGGAGACATTAGGAGTCTGGAAAGATAAAACCAGGCCTAGATTTTCTTTTCTAATTATCATTCAATAATAGATACAGACATCATATATAGGCAGAACTGAAAGTAAAGATTTGTAGAGGGAATATCACTAAGTGATACTTTCATAATTGATCCAGTTACTTCAACTGTGCACTCAAACAGCCACGCAACAGCTCAGGAGCAAAATAACTAGATATGGTCCTGGTTTGGTAATTCACAGCCTAAGACTCAGGATCTCACAACAACAGCAACGACAGGTAAACTGCTTTGTCTTTTGCTTATCAGCTCTCCTGGATGTCAGACCTTTTAGTGTTAGGGGAGAGGACGTCCATTATCACGTCAAATCTCCTTCATCATTCTTAGTGAGAATAGGGTCTTGTACCACTTCATATATCAGAAAGGCCTGTGGATCTGGGGATATGATTGATATTCTTAAATGTCCTGTATGTTTTCCTTTTGGCAATGTGTATATAGAATCAGAATGATTTTTCCATCAGAGGAAGGAAAAACTATGAATCAATAGTTTTGAATGAATGAATGAAATTATGAAAAACTACAAATGAATGAATTGACTGTGTGATTCAATGAGAAAATGTCCTTTAGAAAGAAGTCTGCCGGAAAGTGCAGGCTTCTCCTTTCTGCTGATCTGATTCTCACAGCCAGTAATAAGAGAAGGAAATGCAGATTTCTCTCATCAAAGTGTAGGCCCTGAACCCTTCTTTGGACACTTAAAATCTCAACTGTAAAGTGTAGGAAATGACCTGTTGCTCCATATCAGAATCTAGGCCTCTAACCAGCTCCCTGGGTGTGTGGCTCTTAGCTCTATATCCCTGCAAAGTGTATTGTTACAGGAGCTTTGGGGAAAAACGATTCAAGGCCTGTAAATATGGGAGATTACAAGGACACCCTCATTTATTAACTTTCATTGATGGAGTTAATGGCCATATTTCAAAATAACTAGGCATTCTTTCTGCAGAGGGGGATAATAAACATGGAAAAATTATTCTTTACATTTGTTTGCCTTATATGACATTGGATAAATTATATTCTTTACTTCTATAAATAATCGTGAGGAAAATAGTGCTCATGTTATGTTATGGTTGCCATATCACAATGTCTAAGATCATGCAGGGGTGGGGAGGGGGGATACAGAGATTGCAGAATAAAGACAATGCTATTTTTAAATGTTGACAATGTTTATCTTCATAGGACAAAGAATGTGAAGGAAAAGGTCTTTTTGGCAGTGTTTCATCTTCTTGGTTCATTTTTGGGCTTTCTTGATAGCTGAAAAAAAAATCTAACTCACCTTACTATTTTGTTTGGGGATGATGGTTTCAGCCTCTCTGCTTGAACTTGTTCTCAGTTTTTTGTCTACTGTTAGCTCATATTCTTCCAATGCACATTTTTGGGCATTATTGGTTATAGAAATGGCAGTCTTTGGAGATTTTTAAATCAAGACTCTTGCTTCTGGTCTTATTAGCAAGATCATTGGGGTCACTTCATCTCTGTCTGTCTTTCCTGATTGATTATCCTATTTTCAAAGAATGAGACTCAAAATGTCCTGTTCTGCTTTGCAAAATATAGTTTCACATAAGAAATTACCTTGGGCAAGGTTGTGAGAGGATTTGGAATCTAAATGGAGAAAAGTGTAGAGGCATATTTTTCAATCTTCTACTTCTATGTCATTTTCCCTGTGTGTTGGATTGCTAAGATTATGTATCTATTGCTGGCAGAAATATCATATCCTAAATTCTTGGAGAATGATATTGGTTGCCCAAGATTGTATAGAAGATTAAGGAGCTAGGACTCTGAAGAGCTGGGTTTTAGAATCATAAACTCTCAGGTTTGGAAAGGATGTTAAATGGTCTGGTTCAATCAACACTTCTAATAATTTAATCTCTTACACAACTTTCTTGCCAAGTGATCTTCCTGACTATGGGAAACATAATACTTTATGAAGAAGTTCATTGTTGGATAGTTCAGATTATTGGTTTTTTAAATCCAACATTTGGAAGAACATTCCTCTTCCTGAAATTTTCACCACAGATCCTAATTTGGCCTCATGGATCCAGAGGCAAAAAAGTTTAATCCCTCTTTTACATTATATAGACTTTCAAAATTCAAAGACGGCTGTCATGCGTTCCTGGAGCCCTCACTCTTGCTAATTAGGCTTCTGACTTCAGACAGGTCAGAAGCTCTGTCCAGCAAAATTTTTAAATCTTTAATATAAGGAGCATGAACCAGATGACATTTAAGATCCTTCCCTCTCTGACATTCTATAAACTTCAGTTTGAGTCTCTGAAAAAAATGGAACTTTTTTGCTTTTTCCCTTTCTTTTCACCATCTATATCAAATATAGATGATTCTCTTGAGTAGTAAAAGAGTACAAGCATATTCAATGCTATTTCTTAGGAACCGTTAATTAATCTTTCAACAATCAATTCAATCATGATTACAACAGCTTTGATGAGCACTAGTGCTACAGCAACTGAGACAGCAACCAAGAGGCAAGAAACCTGGGATTGGTTTTCATGGTTGTTTCTACCATCAGAGTCAAAGAATCATCTTCACACAACAACACAAATGGCTGGTAATGAGTTATTATTATCTCATAGCGTATGTTTTCTTGACAGCCTTGAATAATTTTGATTGACCTCTGGGATGTTATTAAAGCCTAACGTTCCTTCTATTCTCACAAATTTTCGTTATGACTTCAGAAGGATCATTAACTCTGGTATCTGTTTGTTTGCTTGTATGGCACCAATAAGCAGATTTCTTCTTTCTAATCTATGGATTAGTATAGACCAGGAGAAGGCTAATACAGAGACTATGAAACGGGAATAAGTTTTTTTAACGATATGGCAAAATTGTGACTCTGAAAGATCATTCATGTATATTCTAAAATTACCACAGTCATAAAAAGTCTTGGACTTTCATGAGGAAATAGCATAGCTAGATATGAAAAAATATAGAAAATCTTCATCAATGGAACTATTCTTGGGGTAGACACTAATCATATGAAAAGACAAATGCTCATTCCCTAAGATAGCCTGAATCTCATTTAAAATGTAGAAAACCCCTTTTTAGTAAAGAGACATCTTCTACAGTAACCACTGAGAAGAAGTGGAAGTTTTTCATCTCCTTTTTTTATTCAAAAAGAAAAAGAATTTCTCAATTTCTGAACCACAGTTCACTTTAGTTAACCCCTTTGATTGCCTAATAATGCCAAAAATGATTTCTCTGTTAATTGGCTTCACATTTTTGCTCTATGCTGAAGTAGTATTGGGAACTGCAGTGTAGCTTCCATCTCTGTTTGGAGGTACACTGATCTGATCTGATACTAGAGAAGATAAAAAATGAATTAGCAAATTGTGAACACAATGAAATGACTGACGTAGGTGTAGATTCCAACATTTTTCTGAAGGTGTCTTGACCAAAAAAAAAAAAAAAAAAGGCACGTGTGAAACCTTTCCATTCTGTTCTTGATGGCTTGGCTTTAATGGCATATGGTTAATGAGTTAATAATAAACATATCTGAAAGTGTGGGGGAGTTTTCATTAGCCTTTAAAAACTTATATGGTGAGATTATGTCCACACTTATTCTTTCAGCTTTCTTAAAGAGAATATTCAGTTTTAAAGATCATAGCCACTTGTTTTGAGATTTATGTATTAGCTTCGGAGATCAGAACATAAGAATTTGGGGTATGCAAGTCAACTCCCTCACTTTCTTTTAAAAATCCTGGGAAATCCATTATACCTTCTGTGCCTGATTTTCTTCCTTTGCAAGTGGGTTGCTTGGCGTCCAGCTCAGCCACTAATGCAAGTCACCACAACAGGTACGTCTTCAAATACCATCTCAGCAGGCTGGGAGCCAAATGAAGAAAATGAAGATGAAAGAGACAGACACCTCAGTTTTTCTGGATCAGGCATTGATGATGATGAAGATTTTATCTCCAGCACCAGTAAGAATAATCAATTACAGTACAGCCATTTATGCAAGGCTTATTGATTAATCTGAGTGATACCAAATTGTATCTCTCTTGAGAAGTAGTTAATGTGAAAAATGGGTGAACCTATGATCATACCTTAGTTATATCTTGATGAGATTATGGAAGAAGAAATAGAATGTTTTGAGAAGTGGGGAAAATATCTCACAAAATTTCTCTTGTCTCATGTTCTTCCTGTTTTATTTATCTATGGGATCTACTGCTACAGATTGTCTTTGAATGATCAGGCTTTATCAGAGAATGACATTAAAACAGTACAAAAAATGTACATTGTGTACTTACTGTGCTAGGTGCTGGAAACACGAAGATGAAAAGAGCCAGAGCCTTTGCTTTTCAGAAGCTCATGGTCTGTTGGAGCAATAGACTTGAAGAATGTGATGAGGAGGGTATTAATTAAAAGTTGTAGGCCAGGCGTGGTGGCTCACACCTGTAATCCCAGCACCCTGGGAGGCCGAGGCGGGCAGATGACGAGGTCAGGAGATCGAGACCATCCTGGCTAACACAGTGAAACCCCATCTCTACTAAAAAATACAAAAAATTAACCAGGCGTAGTGGCGGGTGCCTGTAGTCCTAGCTATTCGGGAGGCTGAGGCAGGAGAATGGTGTGAACCCAGGAGGAGATCGCGCCACTGCACTCCAGCACTCTAACCTGGGTGACAGAGCCAGACTCCATCTCAAAAAAAAAAAAAAAAAGTTGTGGAAGTTCCTAAATTGAAGGCCCTAAAGGCTTAAATGATGGGAGCTAGAACTCAAGAATTATCTTAGTTAATCAAAGCCCAGCTGAGGTCAAAGGAACAAATCCAGAGTTTTAACAAATGAGCTGGACACCAATATAGCAGAAAGACCTTGAAGGGAAGGGCAAATGTCAGGTTAGCTTTAGCAAGACATTGCCACTTATTAAAAGCAAATAATGAAACCACTATTGGTACATAATAGTATCCAAATTTTTGACAATTATAAAACTTTTTGAGAACAAAGAGATGGAAATTGAGCTTTAAAGATATCCTTAAAAAGTTAAAAACATGCAAAGGTTGGTCTAATATTCTGCCAGATTACTGAGTTTTCCACACATACCTGTAATGACTTAAGATTTTGCTGAACAGAGCTGAGAATCCTGAACCTGACTCCATCACAGTTCTGCTTTTCCTTAGAAAAAAGGCTTTTGGGGTGCTGTGTGAGCTCTCCCAATTCACTGAAGTTCTATCCATTCCATTAAAATCTGAGAATTTCATCCTCAAATGGACAGAGAAGAAAGGGTCCAGAAAAAAAAATAGCTTAGGCCTTGAAGGCATCTGAGTATATAACATTGATATGACAAATACTCAAAAGGAACTAGAATTTTCTATCTAAACTTTTAAGTGATTTTTTTTTTAGACCCGACACCCCTCCAGAGCTTAATCTATGGAATAAGAAAATTCCTTTTGGTAACTTCAGAACAAAAACCAAATAATCAAAAACACTGGAGTTTTACATTATACTGTCTCCTGTGTTCAGCATGTGGCCCAGCTTTGCAGATGGGCCCATCAGTAAATACGTGGTCTTGATACTGAAGAAATTAAATTCCCTTGGGTGGTAACCCAAACAGATCTACCTGTAAATGAATTGTATGGTCAGGCTTCAGGGAAAAATTTCCCATGGTGTTGTTTTTTTTTTTTTTTTTTTTTTTTTTTAATTTTTTAAATCTCTATGGCATATTTTTCCAATTTCTGCTTTTCTTTTTTTTTCTTTTCTGCTTAGCACCTATGGACATAATTCAACATGATGCCCTCTTTCTTCTGGAGGGGTGTGATAACTGCTTGATAATAAGCACTTTTTCAGGCCTATTGAGAATGTGGTTAATGATTCTAAACTTGATTTTTCATAACTTGTAAAATAGAGCTGACAGTATTATAGTTCTGAAAACAGTTTTGCGTTATTTGGGTATCAAAATAAAGTTTGAAACAATTAGGATGGATTTGCAAATAACCTTTCACAAAACATGTTGACTCAGATTTTGTCATGATCCTTCTGTTAGGTGCATCTCTTATTCCAGCCCTAACAGATTGGGTGACAATATCAGGGTGCTGGTGGATGTACGCCTCTTTCTTTCCAGTGTGCTGCTATGATGGTGGCTGGTTACCTGTGGTGTCTTATTTTCTTTCACTGGCTATGAATGGCTTGCTCATGACATATTTTGTATTTGATGAGAATACCATAGTGTTTGATAAATATTCAGAAATGTATCGCTAAAACATATGGCTATTCTAGGTATTCTTTTTCAGAATCATCTATAGGAAAGCTCTAGCTGCTCAGGCATTCCTTTCCCCACTGAAATTACTAACAACATAAAGTGATTATCATGGTATAACTTTCAGTTATCTGCCTCTTCACCCGGAGGATCTACAAACAGCACACAGTGACTAAGTCCCTGGGCTTTCAAGTGCAGAGGGATACTACAGACTGCATGGATGGGCAAAATGGCGCCTTTGGTTATCCTCGGTGGAGGGCTGGTGTTTTCAAAGCTGTCCTTCCTACTGCTGCAGCTTCTTTGACTGTTTTATCTGGAAGATCTCATGTTCTGAACCCCAAGGTATTCTATGACAGAATGCAAAGGACACTGAGATGCTTACCAATATGGCTGAATTAAGCTGAAGTCACCCTCCGCTTTCCCTCCATTTCCATGCAGCCATCTATACAACCTGGTATAGATGATTCATTGCATAGCCTACAGAAGCAAGACTATGTGCGGGACAAGTGGCGAAGGCTCAAGAAATAACATTTTTCTAATTGCTTCAATCATCGTTATCACAGTTTCAACCACACCACGGGCTTTTGACCACACAAAACAGAACCAGGACTGGACCCAGTGGAACCCAAGCCATTCAAATCCGGAAGTGCTACTTCAGACAACCACAAGGATGACTGGTAATGGGTTCTGCATATTTAATGAAAGATTTTTTTCCCCTCAAAGCCCATGATGCTGCAAAGGTCAATCATCGAGGCACAGTGGGAAATTTAGTTAATATCTGATCAAGAAATTCTTAGTGGACTTTTATGAGGATACTTAATTCCATTTAGGAGTCATTTATCAATTATACCATGTGGGCACAGGATTTTTTATGTTGCTTCATGATAAAAATGAATATGTTTGAATGGTTTGTGGTTCTGCCTTTGACAAACTGATCATAGTGGAATAATAAGGGAACATGAAGAAATTCCAAGCCCATTGATTTTCTCTTGAGACCAATTAGGTAAAGTCACTCAAAATTTTTGAGAGTGGATGCTCAGAGGTAACACTTTGGCATAGAATTGTTAAATAGCATGCACTTTAATGGAAGAATAGAATCATTAAAGATTGGTTGATAACAAGTCACAGTGTATTTAACCATCATCACAGCAGATGTAGACAGAAATGGCACCACTGCTTATGAAGGAAACTGGAACCCAGAAGCACACCCTCCCCTCATTCACCATGAGCATCATGAGGAAGAAGAGACCCCACATTCTACAAGCACAAGTAAGCAAGATGGCGGTCGGCAGTTCTGGGTTAGATGAATTAGTAAAGACATTCCAGCAATAGGGAAGATTTTGTTTAGAAATTGGCCGCATCTTCTATTTCCACTCGGTAATTTCTTTTATTCTTAGAGCCTGAAAAGCTGCTAAACCCGCACACAAATTTTAAAAATTGGAAGGAAAATGATAACTCATCAGGTTGCCCAAAGGCCAAAATGTTTTAAGAAGTAGATCTAGATACAATTTTTGTGTTAAAGGTTCCTAGAGGTTCCATTTGGGTAACTTGTGTGTGTTCATTGAAATGTGTGGCAAAGAGTGTGTTCTTTTGGTGCTTAGTAGTGGAATCTGGAAAGAAAGTTTGTCAAGTGAATTGATCTTTGGAATCCTTATTTTCTATGAAGATCTTTGATGAATACAGTGTCTTTTTTGCATTCTGTCCCTGACTGTTCTATAGAAAGACATCCCTTGTACTCTTTAGAGCAAAGTTGGTAGCTCTTATGGTCTTCATTTGAATTCTACCACTGCTTCTTTTTCTGTTTTTAAGCCCATGGTAACTTGGGGAAGGCTTTGATGCTCTTACTGTTATTTCTACTATTATGAAAACTCAGGTTTTCCAAAACAATCTCAAGTTGCGGCAGTGGACTGTGAGAATAGGGGGCCCCCTCACTCCCCAAACATAAGAAGTATGTGCTTTTCTTCTTTTATCTATCCCGCTGAGATATGTCTATCTTATTTGGAATAAAAGTATTTATTTTGGAAAACAGCTTTTTAGCATTTTTAAAATGATGACCCAACTGTCATTCTCACAGCCCTAGATACACCTAATGGGGAAATGTGAGCCACTTAAAAGCCACTTAAAAACCAAAGGGCTTTGGGAATCTATGGCTTGAGGGGTGCCTTCAGATAACAAAAGAAAAGTTTCAGGTATCAGTTAGGATAGAGGTTAGACATTGTACTGAATATATCCAGCAGATCTTACATCCCATTACAAACCCCAGTAGGTGTGTTGTATACATACGGCTTAGGGGTTAAGTTAACAAAGAAGTCTGATAAGAAAAGGAAATACAGAGGAAGCATAAATCTCTTTGGAATAGGATTTTGTTCCACTCCCTTAGAGCCCTAACAGTATACCTTAGAAATTATTTTAGACAGTTTGTACTTAAAGACCAGAAAGCTACTTTAGAGACTTGGAAATAATGAGCCTATTGTCAAAAGGTGGTGCTTGCGGGGCATTAGGACTAGAGGGTTGGTGAAAATTCAGACAGAATGTAACTTGACAAAGAGAAGACAGCAACAACTGTAACAATTATCTTATGAATATTTGCGAAACTCAAAGGGATCTGATTGGTGACCTCTGGGCTTTATCAAATTAACATCACAACTTCTAGAAGAAAGTCAACCTTCATCTTTTACAATAGAAATCATATGTTTTGCTAACCCATTCCTATTTAGGCTGAAAACAATTAAGAGTTATGGGTACTTAAAAAAATCATTATGTTTATAAAATTAGTGATAGAAGGAGCATAGTGTTCTATACAGTCACACACATACACTTCCTTATTTCTTTTATTTAAACTTTGAGTAACATAGCAGTCTATGTTTGGGTCAGTTTTCCCTTTTTTGTAATTACATTCAGTGGTTTTTGTAACTTCATTATTTATTGGGAATTAGTGATTTAGTCAGTGGGAGTTTTGTAAAACTTAAGATTTTGGCTTTTTTCCCCCTCCTCCTGGATAACCAGTTAACCCAATAATGGCTTGGCCGATGGAAGGGTAAAATGAGGACAGTTATATTTTTTAAATGTCATTACTGTCACCAAATCACACATATCATTTTCTAAGATAAGGAAATACAACCATTTTTACAAGTTGCAAAAAAGTACTCTGGCTTGGCAAGTTTATAGACTCTCATTTTCTTGATAAACTAAAAAAAAAAAAGAAATTGCTACAAGCTGCTATAGACAAAAATGTTGGTGTCTTTCTGACTTTTCCTGAAGACACCTTGATGGAATTATATTCTCTTGATTTTGTCCTTTTTAAAATGATGGTTGAAATTTTAAGCCTGTCACACACTATTATTTATATAATGCCTCAAACTGGCTTGGATAGTTTTCGTCAACTGAATTAATTTTGTTAAAAAGTGATTTTAGCAATTTTAGGTGCCATGTGGACATCACCAAATACTGTGTTAGTGGAATAGCATCCAAGCCATCCCACCATCTTTCCTGCTGGGCAAATCCACTGCTGGTGCATTTCCAGTGTGTGCGATTATGGGTTACATGACCACCATTTGAGAAGGTCTCCTAATGTGCTGATCTTGTTATTAGCTGTTATACAGTGTTTTCCTTTCGTCAAAATGACTGGAGCAAAGAGGTTATTCTTTGAATGGTTTTCTCAGACAGGGTATGTGAAGCCATTCACTACAGTAAAATAAAAATAATAATAACTCATAGAACTATGAGAATTCATCAGCTATGGTCTGCTTAGTCCTATGATTTTGAACAAATCAAAACTTCTTTGGACCACAATTTTCCTAGCTGAAAAATTAAACATTTGGATCATTTGATTTCTCATATCCCTTTTAGAATATCAGTGGCCTGTTTCCTTGGTGCCTTTCTTTTCTACCTTCCCTCCCCATGTGTATCTGCCCTTAAAGTAGAAAGATATGTTGACAGCTATTGGTGAGGAAAATAGACAATTATGTCTCCCAACTGATATTCTTCTCACAGTCCAGGCAACTCCTAGTAGTACAACGGAAGAAACAGCTACCCAGAAGGAACAGTGGTTTGGCAACAGATGGCATGAGGGATATCGCCAAACACCCAAAGAAGACTCCCATTCGACAACAGGGACAGCTGGTAATGGATGGTTTAACAAGTAAATTTGGATGGAAACTTCCTTTTGGGTTAAACGGTAGACATTGAGGACATTGAACAAAAGGACACTGGAGGAATTGTCACGAGATGTTAGGTTACTTAATAAATTATGCTGCAGTTCACACAGAGCCAAACCTTAAAGGCTCATAACAAGTCACCTGAACAGGAATGGATACAAGCCAGTTATGAATAAGAACAGGAAACACAGAGAAAATGCCCTTGAACATGTCTCTTTCACATCGAGTTTTGGGCATCATCTAGTGAGATTGTAGCAGAGGCCCTGATAAAATATCGCTGTCTGTTGTATAAAGGAATCTACTCTATAATGTGGGTCCAGACTTTACAATATGATTCTGCAAAGTCTGGCTGTGAGAAAGCATTTTGTCAGAACTCCAGTGTTTGAAGAAATAGAGCCAGACATTATGTGAAAAGTGACACCTGTCTGATGTCATTTGGCCTTTTGGCCATGCCTGTTCAGTAATTTGTTTTTGAGTATAAAAAAGGTATCTTCTCTATTCTTGAATTGTGAGATTGTGGAAATTGGAATCCAGTCTTATCATCATCTCTAAGTGATACCAGATAACTTGGCTTTGCAAGCTCCCATGCAGGATTCTTTTGTCTGTGTGACATAAGTATTAAAATGTGTCCTGCCTTATAAAGAATGTGAATTCCATATTCTCACTTGGTATCAGTGAGAAATATTCCCATATTTCTATTTGCAACATAGAAGATAATGCATCATGTCCTTCTGGGGCATGGCAAGTTCTAAATGAATTCCTGGCAGAGCAATGGATTCTGTGATTGTCTATGTGGTGTAGTTGTTGCTAAGAGGATGCTATTGTAATCTTTTCTACCTATACTTCTTCATTGGCTCAGAATGAAGCAAGGCATGTGCTGCTTTCTTATATGTCATTTATGCCATAAATCCCATTGTTAGAAGGTAATGCTTCTAACGGATTCCATTCATGCTTTTGAGATAAATGGCATTGACTTTCATATTGATCACATGGAAAGCTGTTACCTGATTCCTTTCCTGAGATCACTTCCAGCCTAATGTGCATTTGGCTGGAATATGGTTGTCTCAGAATAACATCATGCACTCGGGCTTTTATACTTCTGCCTTTAGGGGACTGTGGCAGCATGGCATGGGTCAAGAAGTACTTCTCCTTCATCTTCCTTTGATGTCGGTAACTCATCCTTTCTGCACTGCGGGAGTTGTTAATGCTTTTGTGTCCTCCAGTTCACATGCTGATTGCTAAGAAGAAAATGAGCATGAGTGAACCCAAAGCTGCTGAAACATTCTGCGTTTATGCAACTTCCTTGCCCTCTATACAAGGAAGATGGTTTCATTGTCTTGTCTAGAGAATAAAGTCTTTTTTAAAAATAAAATCGGTGTATCCCTGACCAAGCGTCCATTAACACTTTGACAATTGCTCAAACTGCATGGTCACAGCAGCCTCAGCTCATACCAGCCATCCAATGCAAGGAAGGACAACACCAAGCCCAGAGGACAGTTCCTGGACTGATTTCTTCAACCCAATCTCACACCCCATGGGACGAGGTCATCAAGCAGGAAGAAGGATGGGTAATAGCCTCTGAGATTTTTATATATTATGTTTTTTGAAATCCACTGAGTGACTGCTGACTATTTTTCTAGAAATATGCCCTTGGTTTTAGACCAAACTACTTTCCTGAAGGACCTGAGGTTCTTCAAAAATTAGTTTTCTTGGTAGGAGTGATACTCATATTCACCTGAATATGAAGTTCTGAGCTGAAAGTAAGGAATTTAGCAGGAGGGTTGGCAAAAGAAAAAACTTATTGTCAAAATATATCTGTGTGAGGCAGTAAGTAATAGATATGAAATGAATGTTGCCAACAATAAACGCTAAAGAAATTCTGAGAACCCCTCCCTGCCCACCACAGCATCACAGAAAGGTGAATTGGACTTGGTTTATGAAAAATAAAAAAACCCTGGATAGTCAGAGAAAGGAAGTGGGTGGTGGGGGTTGGTGGGGGGGGCAGTTTTCCTAAGAAGGAGACTCCTGTAAGGAGAAACGTGAAGGAAGAAAAGCCAAGGAATGAATATGTCAGTGAGTGGATCCATTTTTCACAAGGGAAGATGTGTTTGAATGGCTAGGCAGGGGCCATTATGTTGAGTGACTGAAGTACCACAGGCAGACCCAGCACACATGAGTTTGCACATGGCAGCTGGAGCTCTGAGGACACCCATGGGGGAAAACCAAGCCAGGCAAAGATCTTCAGAATCAATATTAATTCTATGTACTGATGAAGAGAAAGAGATTCCATTAAATTAATGAACATGTCAAGGACAATACAATTGGCTTCAACTACACAATGGTATGATGACTCTTGAAGGACTCTACTTATAAGAGGGAAGATGAACAAGAGTCTAGAGCCCATCATCAAGTGGGACTTTTTCTGGGAGAATGTCCATTTGTGGTTTTGATTCAGGTTAGCACTTGCTCTTGTTTGAAATCTGGGATAACAGGGTCACCACATTTTTGTCCTACAAAGATCTTTAATATTTTAGTGTTGAATATTTAGTGTTGAATCTTGAATATTTAGTGTTGAAAGGCTGCAGTGCAGACCTGGGTACCCAGTATTCTGGTGCTTCACTGGGACTGATTAAATCTCCCCCAGAGGCAGTGATGTGGATAGACTTTGACTGAATTGACAGCCAGAAATATCGATGGGGTTTATGAATTGTTTGGCCTCTGTTTCACTCAAGACTTCTTATTTCAGCAGAGTAGATCTGTGATAACTGTTAAAAACAACATTTACAAGTATTTCAGTGAAATTTCTGCACTACTCAACATTGTACATGTTAAATTTTAAAGACCGCTTATACTTGGGTTTTTGGGAAGAATAATTCAATGACGTCCACTGCTTCTTATTTCTTGCCCCTGTATACTTTCTGTAACTCCACCTAGGTGGTCTTGGATGACGATTCTGTTTATTTGCATATTCACTTTGTGAAGAAAAAAAGACTAAAGGGGGGAAGAGGGCTATTTTTAAAAGTCCCTTTGGTTGGTAAGGGGGAGGGGATAAAATGGTGCCTGAGCCAGCACACTTTGTCTTTTCTCCATGTGTCAGATTGCATGTTTCTATAAAAAAGGCAATGTTTCTGTCTCTCTGCAAGATTTGGGTGTTCCATCATGCACTCATGTGGAGTCCTTCCAGACTCAGCAAAAACAAACACACAGCATAGCTTTCATATAACTCGGCCCTTCAAGGAAAGCCAGTTACTTGTTGTGGTGCTCTTTGATGAAACAATAATCTATCTCAGTTCGGGAGATATAGTCAGTATGTGCTTTCTTTCCTCTTGGCCAGATGTGAATATTTAAAAAAATCAGCTGTAGACCATAAGCCACCTTCAGGTAGTGGTTTGGGAAATCAAGCAATAACACTAATATTGATTCCTTCAGATATGGACTCCAGTCATAGTATAACGCTTCAGCCTACTGCAAATCCAAACACAGGTTTGGTGGAAGATTTGGACAGGACAGGACCTCTTTCAATGACAACGCGTAAGAATAACGATGCTCAGCCACTTTATTGACTTGTATTCCTGCTTCATCTCTTACTCGCTATTGGCCAAGATGCAGAGCTTTGGTGGTGGAATGGTGCTATGTGGCTTACTTCAGCCCAGAGTGTGAAACTGTCTTCATTGTCTGTATTTCTTGTGGAGGTCTCTCAACCTGATTTTCCCTTCATTTCTTTGTGCCTTCCAGATTTAATGACTTTGTGTTTTAAGAAAAAGTAGGACTCTATTCAACTCCATTTTCATTCTCTAAGTAGTTATGTCAGTGAAACACATGCCCACTTCCAGGATAGTGATTTCTCTATGTTTTAACTGACCATTTCCTTTCAATGTCCATCTTTCCTCCAGCCAGTGCAGAAGAGGGGTAGGATTGCTTGCATGGTTGTAAAAAGACATTTTTGGGGCCAGATAATCCTAGAGATCACATCAGTTCTCAGAGGAGAGGCAAGGCATGTTATTGACAATCAACAAAGGTGGCGGGATCCCTGGAACAACAACAACAACAAAACATTGCTAGTATCTCTTTCTATCACTAAGAAATGTTCAAATTCTAGTAGCCTTAATTTCTACTCTATGTGCAGGGATGTCCTAGAGATCAGCCTAAAGTCGTTCATAATTTCTTTGAGGAATACAAAAGAAATCTAGAATTAAGAAGGTCCCATTTTACTGCTTGCCACACATAATGGGCAGAGTCCTTCATATGAGCCCTTTAGGCAAAGGAAAAAAATCAGCAAGCATGTATTGATGGTCAGCAATGTAAATAGCACAGCGTTAAGCATCAAAGGAGATGCAAATAAGCCTATGAATGGTCCTTGCCAAAGAAGGACTTATATTTCCGTTTTATGTCACTGTTGGCTTTTGTTCTGACATTGGGTTTGGGATTTAGTGACTGTCTTTCTCCTGGTTGTAATATTTATTCGGTGGTGGGCATGGCTTATGGGTGTGCTTTATGAAGTTTTTGCACCTGCAACTCAGGTCAGTACCTTTCTTAAAAGAACACAAAAGAAATAAACTTGAAACAGTCCAAGTGATTTTAGATATGGGCAATGGGTCAACCTCCAGTTGATATATGTCACTGAGGGCCCTGTGTTTGCCCAGGCAAGCGTTTCCTTGGTGCAGTGATGAAAATCCCAATGCACAGGTGAAATTAAGAAATAACTTAATAATGGAGTAAAATGGTAACTTTAATTTAATGACCTTTACAAGGTAGCTAAGTATTTCCTTGTATAAATTTGATCTGTGTTACTTGAGTAGGCTATTCTAGATAGGCTTCTTTTTCTTTTGTGGTTACAACTAGACTACAGGCTATCATAGTGTTCATTTTCCCTGCCGTCACATTTCTTGACACACAGTTAGGTGCTTTTGGTTACTGATAGGAGCATTGGGATTCAAATATTCTTTTTTCCATGTCTCTGTGTTCTCTGGTTTTCTGGAGTGACTGGGAGCAATGCTGCAATTGAGCCTGGACAATCCAGGATAGGCAAAGTTTTGGCTCAGTCTTCACCTTGCCACTTTACCTTTGATGATTATACTGAGAAATAAAGGGTCTTCAGAACCAAATAGGGGCAAAATAGAATTCTTCTGTATATTTCTATCAATCAGAGGAGAATTGTGTGCACAAACCTTGGTCTTCCTATGCACCTATCCATCTGACTCTACTCTAGCTAGATTTTCCTTGCTAGCAGATAACAGGATTTGTACCGTAGCTTCAAATTAACACTGGATTCATTCCTCATTGAAACAGAGCAGAGTAATTCTCAGAGCTTCTCTACATCACATGAAGGCTTGGAAGAAGATAAAGACCATCCAACAACTTCTACTCTGACATCAAGCAGTAAGGATTATAAAACCTAGTTGGCTTCAGCTATTGATAAGAATCAATCAATTATGGGTACTTTTGCAGTGTCTTTGGTGGAGGTGCATCCATTAGCTGCCGTTACACTGTTACTTTTAATCAAAAGGTGCGTCTGGTGGTGGTTCTCTGATTTTTCTGTTTTATATACCTCTTCGTACATTAAGTGCAAACTACATTTCTTCATCTTAAAAGTTGGGTTTCTTTCACTCTAGAGTTAGTGATTTGTTTTAACAATAATGGATTGCTTATATATGATTTATTTTATTTATTTATTTTTGTTAACTTGAGATCTTTCTAACTTTTTTATGTGGGCGTTTAAATTTAGTGCTATAAATTTCCCTCTTACTACTGCCTTAGCTGTGTCCCAGAGATTCTGATATGTTGTATCTTTGTTCTTATTAGTTTCAAAGAACTTCTTGATTTCTGCATTAATTTCATTATTTACCCAGAAGTCATTCAGGAGCAGGTTATTTAATTTCCATGTAATTGTATGGTTTTGAGTGAGTTTCTTAGTCTTGATTTCAAATTTGATTGCGCTGTGGTCCAATAGACTGTTTGCTATGATTTCAGTTCTTTTGCAGTGTGATTTATAATTGGCGTAAATGTCTGATTATATCACTTTACATTCCTCACAATAATATTGTTTTGCCTTTTGTCCTCTGGACCTCCATGGTGCTGATGACTAAAAAGCAGTCCCTTCTGGAAAAGAAAAGAATAATTAAATTAGTAGCCTCAGGCCTTTGAAACCATGCATTTGCTATTTTAATTGCAGGCAGCAAAATTTTATCTTTCAATCCAATGATATGTTTCCTCCACTACATCAAAGATGAATCCAATTGAGAAAGAACTCAAGATTATCTAGTACCTCAGCTGACTTCAAGATCACAGTTGTAGTGACATAGCCTTACCTAATAACCCAAGCAGATGTTGCAACAAATGCCAATTCTGGGTATTAAGATCACCAAAATCTCTTCTGTTGAGTGATGTCCAAGTAGTGTCTATTGCAAAATATTTATTCTGTTCAATAGTATGACAAACTTCACTCTATTTCTCCCTATTTATGGATAACAAGTGGAAAGCTTTTGCAGCAATTGTGTGTTCTGGAGACAAGCACATGGTGGGTGGTGATCTTACAAATACGGGTTCATCACTGATTCCACCTCCACACAGATAGGAATGATGTCACAGGTGGAAGAAGAGACCCAAATCATTCTGAAGGCTCAACTACTTTACTGGAAGGTTATACCTCTCATTACCCACACACGAAGGAAAGCAGGACCTTCATCCCAGTGACCTCAGCTAAGACTGGGTCCTTTGGAGTTACTGCAGTTACTGTTGGAGATTCCAACTCTAATGTCAATCGTTCCTTATCAGGTAATTTGGCATTTATTATCTAGTTTGCTTTCTCTATATAGAGAAACAATATATAGTTTCATATTA